>NC_000009.12:102311461-102462976 GCF_000001405.40 Homo sapiens | reverse complement strand
TCTTGACTTTAGATAACCTGATAACTGTGTGCCTAGGTGATGATCTTTTTTTGATTAATTTTCCAGGTGTCATTTGAACTTCATGTATGTGGATGTCTAGATCTCTAGCAAAGCCAGGGGAGTTTTCTTCGATTATTCCCTTAAATATTGTTTCCAAACTTTTATATTTCTCTTCTTCTTTGGGAACAGTTTTTCTTAGATTTGGAGGTTTAACACAATCCCAAACTTCTTAGAAGCTTTGCTCATTTTTTTAATTCATTTTTTCTTTGTCCTTGATGTATTGGGTTAATTCAAAATCCTTGTCTTTGAGCTCTAAAGTTCTTCTGCTTGTTTGATTCTATTCCTGAGACTTTCCAGGGGATTTTGAATTTCTCTAAGTGTGTCCTTGATATTTAGAAGTTGTGACAGTTTTTATTTAGGCTATTTCACCGAATAATTGTCCTTTCATATTCTGCATCATGTTTTTGATTTCTTTAAGTTGGACTTTATCTTTCTCTGGTGCCTCCTTGATTAGCTTAATAATCAACCATCTGAATTCTTTTTCTGCCAATTGAGAAACTTCATCTTGATTTGCCTCCATTGCTGGTGAGCTGGTAGGATCTTTTGCGGATGTTAAAGAATCTTGTTTAGTCATGTTACCAGAATTGTTTGTCTGGTTCCTTCTCATTTGGGTAGACTATATCAGATGGAAGATCTGGGATTCAAGGGCTGCTGTTCATCTTTTGTCCCACAGAGTGCTCCCTTGATATGGTGTTTTCCCCCTTCCTCTAGGAACCAGGCTTTCTGAGAGGTGAACTATAGTGATTGTTTTTTCTCTTCTGGGTCTAGCCACCCAGCGGAGCTACCAGGCTTTGGGCTGGTACTGGAGAGTGTCTGCAAAGAGTCCTGTGATGTGATCCATCTTCAGATCTTGCAGCCGTGGCTACCAGCACCTGCTCCAGTTGAGGTAGCAGGGGCGTGAAGTAGCTTCTGTGAGGGTCCTTGGTTGTGTTTTTGTTGAGTGTGCTGGTTTTGTGTTGCTTGGCCTCCAGCCAGGAGGTGGCACTTTCAAGAATGCATCAGCTATGGTCTTATATGGAGGATGCACACTTGCCCTAGGGACCCCTGGTTAAGTATTCAGGTTTCTCAGGCAGTGGGAAGGGCCATAGAGCTCCCAAGGGATTATAACCTTTGTCTTGGCTTCCAGGACTGATAAAGACCACCTTGTGGGGGCAGGAATAGGTGTGTCTAAGCTCAGCCTCTCCTTGGATGGGGCTTGCTGTGGCTGCTGTGAAAATGGGGATGTGGTTTCCAGTCCAATGGAGTTATATTCCCAGGGGGATTAGCTTGCCTCTGCTGAGTCATACAAGTTGCCAGGAAAATGGGGGAAAGCTGGCAGTCACAGGCCTCACCCCACTCCCACACAGCCAGCAGTCCTAAAGGCTGGTCTCACTCCCACCATTCCACCCCGCCACCCCCTGCCCCACCAGCAACAGCACCAAGTGTATTTCCAGGCAGCGGTGACCAGGGCTGACAACTTGCTGCAGACCAGAAGCCTCCCTGTTGAGAAAGCAAGCAGACCCACAGTGTTTTGGCATCTCAGGGAGCCTGCTGGGATGATCCAGGTCCTTCAAAGGGGCTGTGGATGATTTTGGCTTCCTGGTATGTTCCTGTGGTAGTTCTTGAAGCAAAAATTCATGATGTGAGTCTGCAAACACTGCTGTGTCTGTTAGAGCAGGAGCTGCAAGCTAGTCCTGCCTCCTATCTGCCATCTTAATAATGATGATAGTTTCTTTTGCTGTACAGAAGCTCTTTAGTTCAATTAGATTCCATTTGTCAAGTTCTGCTTTTGTTTCAATTGTTTTTGGAAACTTTGTCATGAAATCTTTGCCAGTGCCTGTCCTGAATAATATTGCCCAGGTTTTCTTCTAGGGTTTTTGTAATTTTGGGTTTTACATTTAAGTCTTTAATCCAACTTGAGTTGATTTTTGTATATGGTGTAAGGAAGAGTTCCACTTTCAATTTTCTGCATATGGCTTGCCAGTTATCTCAGCACCAACTATTAAATAGAGGATCATTTACCCATTGTTTTTTTTTGTCAGGGTTGTCAAAGATCAGATAGTTGTAGGTGTACAGTCTCATTTCTAGGTTTTCAATATTCCATTAGTCTATGTGTCTGTTCTTTTACCAGTACAATGCTGTTTGGGTTACTGTAGCCCTGTAGCATACTGTGAAGTTGGGTAACATGATGCCTCCAGTTTTGTTCTTTTTGCTTAGGATTGCCCTGGTTATTTGGGCTCTTTTTTGGTTCCACATGAATTTTAAAATAGTTTTTCCTAGTTCCGTGAAAAATGTCAGTGGTTGTTTAATGGGAACATCATTGTATCTATAAATTGCTTTGGGCAGTATGGTCATTTTAATGATATTGATTCTTCCTATCCATGTGTATGGAATGTTTTTCCCTTTGTTTGCATCATCTCTAATTTCTTTGAGCAGTGGTTTGTAGTTCTCTTTGTAGTGGTCCTTCACTTCCTTTGTTAGCTGTATTGCTAGGTATTTTATTCCTTTTGTGGCAGTTGTGAATATGAGTTCATATATGATTTGACTCTCAGCTTGACTGTCGTTGGTGTACAGGATTGCTAGCAACATTTGCACATTGATTTTGTATCCTGATACTTTGCTGAAGTTGCTTATCAGCTTAAGAAGCTTTTGGGCTGAGAGGATGGGATTTTCTAAATATACAATCATGTCATCTGCAAACAGAGACAATTTGACTTCCTCTTTTCCTATTTGAATACTCTTTATTTCTTTCTCTTGACTGATTGCCCTGGCCAGAACTTCCAATACTATGTTGAACAGGAGTGGTGAGAGAGGGCATTTTTGTCTTGTGCCAGTTATCAAGGGGAATCTTTTGTCATTTCAGTGTAATGTTGTCTGTGGGTTTGTCATAGTTGACTCATTATTCTGGGGTATGTTCTTTCAGTACCTAGTTTAGTGAGAGCCCGAATAGCCATGTTACCTGACTTAAAACTATACTACAGGGATACAGTAACCAAAGCAGTGTGGTACTGGTACAAAAACAAACACATAGACCAATGGAACAGAATAGAGGACCCAGAAATGAGACCACTCACCTACAACTATCTGATCCTTGACAAACCTGACAGAAACAAGCAATGGGAAAAGGATTCCCTATTCAATAAATAGTTCTGGGATAGCTGGCTAGCCATATCCCAAAGATTAAAATGTGACCCATTTCTTACACATATACAAAAATTAACTCAAGATGAATTAAAGACTTAAATATAAAACCCAAAACTATAAAATCCCTGGAAGACAACATAGACAATACCATTTAGGACATAAGCAAGGGCAAAGATTTAATGATGAAGATGCTAAAAGCAACTGCAACAAAAGCAAAAATTGACAAGTGAGATCTAATTAAACTAATTAAACTCTACACAGCAAAAGAAACTATCAACAGAGTAAACAGACAATCTACAGACTGGAGGAAAATTTTTGCAAAGTATGCATCTGGCAAAGGTCTTATATCTGCCTAATATCGTCTCTCTCCACATCATTGTCAACACTTTTCATTTGTCTATTTGGTAGTAGCTGTTTGAACAGGTGTGAGGTGATTTTATTGAGGTTTTAATTTAAAATTTCCTTTTGGTTAGTGATGTTGAGAATTGGAACTGGAGAAAATATTTGCAAATCGGACATCTACTAAGAGGTTAATATGCAAAAATATTTAAAGACCTCAAACAATAGCAAATAACCAAATTATAAAATGGGCAAATATCCTAAATAGACATTTTTCATTTTTAGAGACAGGGTCTCACTCTGTCCCGGGGGCTGAAGTGCAGTAGGGCAATTATAGCTGACTGCAGCCTCAAATTCCTGGGTTCAAACCATCCTGCAGTTTCAGCCTCCCAAGTAGCTAGGACTATGGCACGTGCTGCCACATCCAGCTACATTTTTAATTTTTTGTAGAGGCAAGGTCTCTCATTATTTTGCCCAGGCTGGTCTCAAACTCTTCAGCTCAAGCCATCCTCCCATCTCAGCCTCCCAAAGGACCAGGATTACAGGTGTGAGCCACTGTGCCCAGCCCATATATTTTGTTTTTAGAATTTAGTGTTTTGATACAACATTCATAATTTTGATTCTCAGTATCCATAGCATAATATACTTATTAACATTGGAATTTTCCACATTGTGGTTGTTATATTTAATTTTAAAATGAATATCCATTCAAATAACTTTTTCTTTAGGTTGAATTATGTTTTCTTTATTTTTAAATTCATTTTTATTTATGTTAATTGATCAGTAAAATTTATGTATATTTATGGTGTAAAACATAAAGTTTTGGTATATGAATACATTGAGGAGTGGCTAAATCAAACTACTTAGCATAAACATTACCTCACATACTTATTTTTTGTATGTGAATACTTAAAATCCATTCTCTTAACTATTTTTAAGTATACAATATATTGTTATCAACTGCAATCACTATGATGTATAAATATTCATACCCGTTGACCCAGTTATGTGTTTCCTAAGAATTTAACATAAGAAAACAAACATTTATTTATGGTAAATTATTAGAGGAAGCATAACTGATTTAATAGGCATAAATATTTATATACTTTATAATATTTCCATATGGTTTTTCAAAAATGGTTTTCAGAATTACAATGCCACCAGCAGTTTATAATTTTTTATTCAAAAATCTCACATTTGCTGCTAAATTTCTAAATATTTATTGATTTAATAACATGAACATTTTTAGCTTTAGATTTTATTAAAAACTGTGCTCAAAAAATTTTGAAATAATTTCATATTTAAATGATTGAATCATAAGATTATTTCTGATTGCTATTTTTAATTTTCATATTTTTGTACAATACATGAATTATGTTTATAATCAAAAAATAGAGTCATTCTGTAAAAATTGCTTTTCTGTTTTCTAATAATATTGTATCACTTTCTCTGTTTACTATTTATTAAACTAATTACTATTGATTTTATTAGACTGCATATTGCTATATAACAAAAAATAATAATATTTTTTATTTATTTATTTTTTATTTATTTATTTATTTTTATTATACTTTAAGTTTTAGGGTACATGTGCACATTGTGCAGGTTAGTTACATATGTATACGTGTGCCATGCTGGTGTGCTGCACCCACTAACTCGTCATCTAGCATTAGGTATATCTCCCAATGCTATCCCTCCCCCCTCCCCCCATCCCACCACAGTCCCCAGAGTGTGATATTCCCCTTCCTGTGTCCATGTGATCTCATTGTTCAATTCCCACCTATGAGTGAGAATATGCGGTGTTTGGTTTATTCTCTGGAAATCAACTGAAATTTATATTGTTAGAAGTGTTTTTTCAAGGTATTCTCTTTGCTGTTTCCCACGGTTTAAAAAATATTATTATTTTTTGTTATAATAATTTTGTTATAATAATATTTTTTAAACCGTGGGAAACAGCAAAGAGAATACCTTGAAAAAACACTTCTAACAATATAAATTTCAGTTGATTTCCAGAGAATAATTCTTTTATTCACGAATCTGGAGCAGACACCTCCTTCAATTTTATTTTTATAGAAAAATGCCTTTTGTCAGCAGATGTCCTTGTTTATTGCAAAGCTTATAATGCGAAGCAGCTTATCTTCCTGTAGAAATAAGCGTATTTAGTTTACCACACCTTACAGAACAATAGAACTTTCCACTGTTCATCCTTGGAGGAACAAGTTGGAATGGATGATATTTTAAATTCAGTAAAGACAATAAAACATCACAGTAAGCATGTTTTTTTAGGCAACATACATGGCTCACAATTAAAGTTTTAAATGGATGATTTGAAATCTATAAGCTTTTTTATATGTAATTTAGGTCCATTTTCCGTTAGTGAAAATATAGATTTATAATTACCCATATTCCCAATGTATCTACACTTTTCAGAATTACTGCAAGAAATACTTCAGATGGAATCTGGCCTCAAAATCTCTGATTAAATAAATGACTTCTGAAAATTTGTTTTATATGCAATTTATATGTAAAGGAGATCACTAAAATAACAATCAGTATACTATACTGCACTTAGCTTGCATGGTCTACTCAACTGTGAGATCTCTGAAGGCAAGAAACATAGCTTTTTAATTATCTATTCCCACCAATTAGTAGAGTGCTTTTCACAGCATGTGTCCCATGAATGATTATTGAGTCATTGAAAGAATTATGACTAGAGGGTAAATTCCACTGTGCAATATCTTTCACTGGAATTTATCTTCTGGGAGATCAGAAGCCTTGCTCTTCTTAAAGCTGTATATGAGTTTGTACTTTTTCAAGACGTATTCAGTCTTCAGGCTCCATTATAACTATATCACCTATTGCTAAATCTTTTTATCAAATATTATGAAGCCAACACATGATAGAAGTTTTCTTAATGATCTTAATTATAATTATATCAATTTTAAAAATCAACATGGCTCCTATATGAGAGAGAAGTGTGCTACACTACCCAACCATGAACAAGGACCAAAAAAATGACATTTTTTTTTCCCAGATAAAAACAAAAGACAATATAGGATTTTTGAAGGGTAGTTTTTGTTATTAATTCTTTGTACCTCCCAAAGTCCCAAATGCTGGCACTCATACATTGGTTCTGGGATTTTTTGTACTGTTCCTGAACATGCAGAAAGGAGACTCAATATCAAAAGTGAAAAATGTACATCTAAGAAATGCAAATTTAAACAATAATGAGATACTCTTACATGTCTATTAGAATGGGAAAGTTTGGAAGACTGACAACGCCTAATGCTGGCAGGGATAAGGAACAACAAAAATTCTCATCCCTTGCTGGTAAGAATACAAAATGGAACAGCCACTTTGAAAGTTAGTTTAGCAGTTGCTTACAAAACTAAACATATGGCAATTATGCCCCTCAATATCTTCCCAGATTTGTTGAAAACATATGTCCACCTGAAAACCTGCACATGGATGCTTATAGCAGCTTTATTCTTAATTGACAAAAACTTGGAAATATGCAAGGTTTCCTTCAGTAGGCAAATGGGTAAATAAATTACAGTATATCCACACAATAGAATGTATTGTTGAAAAGAAGTGGCTATCAAGCCATGAAAAGACAAGAAGAAAATATAAATGTATATTACTAAGTGATAAATGCCAATCTGAGGATGCTAGATACTGTATAACTCTAACTATATGACATTCTGGGAAAGGCAAAACTGTGGAAATAGTAAAAGGATGAGTGGTTGCTAAGATTTAGGTAAGGGTAATGTATAAGGTATAAGGACATATATCCATCATTATTTTAATAGATTCCAGCAGAGGAGTTTCACAGCCCTAAAAATCCCCTATGCTTTGCCTGTTCGTTCCTCCCTTACCCTCAACAGCTTTAGAACTACAATTGGCCGTAACTGCTACTTAGGCTTACAGATAGGCTTTGAATGGGACAATATCTGATTTGACCTAAAAAACAATCCTGGATCAGAATGAAATAAAATAACCCAATTTCTACCTATAAATAGATTGTGGCTCAAACACAAACTTGCTAACATCAGAAATCTAAAGCGATTTCCATTTTATATACATGATCTTAGAAACTATAGTTTTTATCATTTACAGCAGCTCAAACTAAAGATAGCCAGTTCAGCTGGAGAGAAGTTAACCATAATCTAAGGTGATGGAATGAGAGAAAGACAGAGAAGAAGGTACAGTTATGGCAGATATTTATTAAGTGAAATAAGAAGTGGTCAACGTTTGGGTACAAAAAGTGACTTAAAGGCAGAAGTGTAGAATTTAACACAATGAATTTGATCTGTCTTCTACAATTTTATGACAAAATTATTTCATGTAACATTAAAACTAGAAGGGAACTTTGAAAAGATCTAATTTACAATATTCATTTTGCAGACGAACAGGAAATTGTCCATGGTCACACAGCTGATTACTAAGTAATGGTCTTTACATATGAACCCAAATCGAGACAAAACTCACTTCTCACTAAACCTTCAGCCTTCTACTTACCTGTGTCATGGTCTTTTGTTATACTTTCTTGATTGTTCTCAAGTTAATGGACATAATTTCATTTATGTTATTCTTTGAAAGCACAGGGTGAGTGACAAGAGGTTGAACAGATTTAAAGGGATAGGATATCAACTTTATAGTAAACAATCTTTATGATTTACATGTCACCTGTACAAAAGCAATACAAGTATCTTTAGATGAGAATGTGCTACCTTTAAGGTTTTATGTATAAATTTTAGTTTAAAAACTGGGAATCCACATTCACTTGGAAAAATATTCTCAATAAATCGTATTTTTGTCATTTCCTATGGCTTGCTAAGAAAAGTTAATGAATTTATTTACAAGTATTTATTTTTTATATTTTATTCCATTTGGTTTTCTCTAAAAATAAAATAATAACATAATTCTTAGTGAGAAAAGCAGTGTTATGCCTTTAATTCATTTTACTTCCCCAAACTCTGTATTTATTATGTTTCTTTACTCGCTATTCAGTAATACCTGAGTCACCTTGTTCACTAGGAAATAATGCATTAGAAGGAGTCTGCTTTATTATTCATTATTGAACGCACATAAGTTTCCCTTTTTAGGGCACATTAGTATAAAGATCAATACAGTGCTTAAATTAGTTGCCCAATAAGCATCATCAATTGAGATTATGAAGGTGCTACCTATGTCTTATGGGAAAAATACTAACCAAAATTAATCTGAGCCCAGTTATAGTCCATTGAATAAAGGTTTCTCACTTATCACTAGATTAAGAGCCTGATTAGGCCCAGTTCATGATACAATATTGAAACAAATAGGTCCTTCCAACTGGATTCACTCAGCCCTAGATGCAAGCCACTTAGAATGAAAAAAAATTCAACACTTGGTTAGTGTATTAAAAGACAAATATTGCTTCTGACACAAACGAATTATAGACTTTCAGGTTTAAAAGGGACTTGAGAATTTGTTTAGTGTAAACGCTCAATGCTTCAGTCTTGTGCATGTGTCCTATGTTCTTGCCTACTGGGCTAAATAATATTCCTTGATTATTTCTTTTCAGTTTTCAGCACATCCCTTGCAAGATCACACATGTAAGCCTCCCCAGCAATTTAGAAAAGCTAGAAACTAATAAACTATGCAGTCTGTGTATATCAATAAATGCAAACTAAATTTTACATTTTTATTGCTGAAAACACACAAGCATGCATACAAAAAAGCAATTAAAAGTCTCCCTTAATCTCAGGACATTTTGATTAAAAGCCTTTACTCAGGCCTTTTCAGTTTCATCTTACTTCCTTTTCTTTCTTCTTCTTTTTTTTAGAGACAAATTTTGCTCTGTCATCTAGGCTGGAGTGCAGTGGTACAATCATAGTTTGCTGTAACCTTGAACTCTTGGGCTCAAGTGATGCTCCCACCTCAGCTTCCCAGGTAGCTGGGACTATAAGTGTGCACCACTACTCTCAGCTAACTTTTTTTTTTTATTATTTATTTTTTGTAGAGACAGTCTTGCTATGCTGTCCAGGCTGGTCTCTAATTCCTGGCCTCAAACAATCCTCCCACTTCAGCCTCTCAACGTGCTGAGATTACAGCCAAGAGCTAACACAACTGACCTTACCCTACATATCTCTTAACAGGCATATAATGTGTCCAAACAAGCTTGACAATTTCATTTTCTTACTTTTGAAATCAATTTAAATGTCAAAAAATTTTAATCTCTAATACAACCACCCATAGGTCTCTCAAATAAAATAATGACAATGGATGAAACTAGAGTTAGATTTTAACCTTTAATTACGAATATACACCTTATATTTTAGGTTACTCAGGTAAAGTAGCCAAGGCAAGTTTTCACTTTGGACTAAGAAGCCTATTGACTACTGAAACCATTCAACTGTTAAGGTGTTTCCAATTTTGATAAAGTAGTCTGGTGTAATGCACTATATTATGACAAATTATTGCCAAATATATCTGACCATTTTCTTACTACTTTTCTTAATATTTTTCTGTTACTTTTTCATTCTATGACCCATATTTTCATTCTTCTATTGTCAATTAACTACAGTCCAATCTGTCACAGCTGTCTCTAGCTTCTCCTTGTCTTACCATTTTTTCCACACAGCTACTGTCACCTCTAGGTAGATAAAGTAGAAAATCTAGAAGAAATTTATAAATTCCTGGACACACACACCCTCCCAAGCCTAAATCAGGAAGAAGTCAAATCCCTAAATAGACCAGCAACAAGTTCTGAATTGAGGCAGTAATGAATAGCCTACCAACCACATCCTCTCCAGCATTTATTGCCTGTCTTTTGGATATAAGCCATTTCATAACTGGGGTGAGATGATATCTCATTGTAGTTTTGATTTGCATTTCTCTGATCAATGACGCTGAGCACCTTTTTATATACCAGTTTCCCATTTGTATGTCTTCTTTTGAGAAATGTCTGTTCAGATCTTTTATGCATTTTTAAATCAGTTTATTAGGTTTTTTTTCTTATTGAGTTGTTTAAGCTCCTTATATATTCTGATTATTAATCCCTTGTCAGATGGGTAGTTTGCCAATATTTTCTCCCATTCTGTGGGCTTTTTCTTCACTTTGTTGATGTTTCCTTTTCTGTGCAGAAACATTTTAACTTGATGTGATCCCATTGGTCCATTTTTGCTTTGGTTGCCTGTATTTGTGGGGTGTTACTCAAAAAAATCTTTGCCCAGTCCAATGTCCTGGAGAGCTTCCCCAATGTTTTCTTTATTAGTTTCATAGTTTGAGAACTTAGCTTTAAGTCTTCAATCCATTTTGATTTGATTTTTGTATATGATGGAAAATAGAGGTCTAGTTTCTTTCCTTCGCATATTAATTTCCAGTTTCCCCAGCACCATTTATTGAAGAGACTGTCCTTTCCCTGATGTATGTTCTTGGCCCCTTTGTTAAAAATGAGTTCACTGTAAATGTATGACTTTATCTCTGACTTCTCTATTCTGTTCCACTATTGATGTGTCTGTTATTATGCCACTACCATGCTGTTTTGGCCAGTATAACGCTGTAATAAAATTTGAAGTTTGGTAATGTGATTCCTCCAGTTTTGTTCTCTTTGCTTAGGATAATTTTAGCTATTCTGAGTCTTTTAAAATTATGGTTCCATAAAAATGTTAGGAATTTTTTTTTTCATTTCCATGAAGAAGCTCATTTTTGATAGTGACTACCTTAAGTCTATATATTGCTTTGGGTAGTATGGGCATTTTTACAGTATTAGTTTTTCCAATCCATAAACATGAAATATCATTTCATATTTTGGTATGCTCTTTAATTTCTTTCATCACTGTTTTATAGTTTTCATTGTAGAGATCTTTCACTTTTTGGATAAGTTAATTCCTAAGTATTTTATTTTATTTGTAGCTATTGTAAATGGCATTGTTTTCTTGATATATTTTTCAATTTGTTCACTATTGGCACATACAGATGCTACTGATTTTTGTATGTTGATTATGTATCCTGCAATTTTACTAAATTTGTTTTTCAGTTGTAATACTTATTTTGTGAAGTATTTATGGTTTTACAAATATAAGATCATATAATCTGCAAACAAGAATAATTTGACTTCTTCCCTCTCAATTTGGATGACCCTTTTTTCTTTCTCTTGTCTGATTGCTATAGCTAGGACTTCCAGTACCATGCTGAACAATGACGGGAAAAGTAGGTATCCTTGTTGTGTCCCAGAAGTTAGAGGTAAGGCTTTCATTTTTTTCTCATTCAGTATGATACTAGCTATGAGTCTGTTTCATATGGCTTATGTTATGTTGAGGTATGTTCCTTCTATACCAATATTTTTAAAGGTTTTTATCATGAAAGAATGTTGATTTATCAAATGCTTTTTTAAGATCGATTGAAAAGAGCATATGGTTTTGTCCTTCATTTTGTCATTATGTTGTACTACATTGATTGATTTGCATATGTTGAACAACATTTGCATCTCTGGAATAAATCACACCTGATCATAATGAATAATCCTTTTAATGTATTGCCAACTTTGGCTTGCTAGTATTTTATTGAGGAATTTTTCATGAATATTCATTAGTGATATTGGCCTATAGTTTTGTTTTTTTCGATGTGTCTTTGTCTGGTTTTGGTATCAGGGTAATACTGGTCTCTTAGAATGAGTTTGAAAGTATTCCTTCTTCCTCTATTTTTTGGAGTAGTTTGAGTAGGATTGGTATTAGTTTTTCTTTACGTGTTTGGTAGAATTCAGCAGTGAAGCCACCAGGTCCCTGGCTTTACTTTACTGGGAAACTTTTTATTACAGCTTCGAATTCGTTACTTGTTTGTCTTTTCAGGTTTTGGATTTTTTCGTGGTTCAATGTTGGTATGTTATAAGTGTCTAGGAATTTATCTATTTTTTATAGATTTTCCAATTTATTGGCATATGATTGCTCATAGTAGCCATGAATGATCCTTTGAATTTCTGCAGTATCAGTTGTAATGTCTTCTTTTTTATCTCTGATTTTATTTGAGACTTCTCCCTTATTTTCTTCATTAGTCTTGCTAGAGATTTGTCAATTTTGTTTAATTTTTCAAAAAACTAAATTTCTGTTTTATTGATAGTTTGTATTTTTTTATTTCAAATTCATTTATTTCTGCTCTGATCCTTATTATTTCTTTTCTTATACTAATTTGGGGGTTGTTTTCTCTTTTCTAGTTCCTTAAGATCCATCATTAGGTAATTTATTTGAAGTTTTTTTTTCATTTTGATGCAGACACTTATAACTACAAATTTCCATCTTAGTATTCTGTTGACTGTATCCCATAGCTTTTGATATGTTGGATTTCTACTATCTTTTATTTTTAATTTCTTCATTGACCCACTGGTCATTCAGGCGCATACTGTTTAATTTCCATGTGTTGGTATGGTTTCCACAATTCCTCTTGTTATTGATTTCTAGTTTTATTCCAATGTGGTCAGACAAGATGTTTGGTATTACGTTAATTTGTTTTATGTTTTAAGACTTGTTTTGTGACCTGGCATATGGTCTATCCTTGACAGTGATTCATTTGCTAAGGAGAAGAATGTGTGTTCTGCAGCCATTGGATGAACTGTCCTGTAAATATATATTAGATCCATTTGTTCTATAGTGCAGATTAAGTCTGGTATTTCTTTGTTGATTTCTGTCTGGAAGATCTGTCCAATGCTGAAAGTGGGTGTTGAAATCTCCAGCCATTATTGTATTGGAGTCTATGTCTGTCTTTAGTTCTAATAATATTTATCTTATATATCTGAGTGTTGTACTGTTGGTTGCATATATATTTACAATCATTACTACATCTTGCTGAATAGACCTCTTTATCAGACTTTATTCCTTCTTTCAGTTTTTTTGTTAAAATATATTTTGTCTGATATAAATATTCCTATTCTTTTTTGTTTCTTTTTGCATGGAATATCTTTTTCCATCCCTTTATTTTCAGTCTATGTGTTATCTTTATAGTTGAAATGTGTTTCTTGTAGGCAAGAGTTTGTGGGTCTTGTTTTTTCAATCATTCAGTCAGTCTGTGTCTTTTGACACAGTTTAGTTCATTTACATTTAATATTATCACTGATAAGTAAGGACTTACTCCTGCCATTTTGTTATTTATTTTCTCGTGGTTTTGTCTTCCTTCTTTGATTCCTTTCTGTCTTCATTTTTTTGAAAGTTATTTTCTCTGGTGGTATGATTTAATTTTTTGGATATTTGTTGTATGTGTTTCAATTTGAGGTTACCATAAGGCTTGCAAGTACTATCTTATAACTCATTGTTTTAAACTGATGACTACGTAACACTAATTGCAGAAACAAATAAAGAAAAATAAAACTAACAAAAACTCTACGCCATAACTTCTTCGCCCTACTTTTAAACATTCTGTTGTTTCTCTTTATGTTTTATTGCACTGTGTATGTCTTAAAATGTTGTAGTTATTATTTTTTATTTGTTAATTATTTATTTTTATACCACAATTACAGTGTTGTAATATTTTATGGTTTTCAATGTAGTTACTATTACCAGTGAATTTTGTACCTTCAAGTGATTACTTATTACTCATTAATGTCCTTTTCTTTCTGATTGGAATACTCCCTTCAGCATTTCTTGTAGGACTGGTCTGGTGTTGATGAAATCCCTCAGGTTGTTTTTTTTTTTCTTATTTTTCTGGGCAAGTCTTTATTTCTGCTTCATGTTTGGAGGATATTTTTACTGGATCTCTTCTAGGGTAAAAGTTTTCTTTTCTTTTAGCACTTTAAATATGTCATGAACCTCTCTTTTGGCCTATAAGATTTCCACTGAAAATCTGATGCCAGATGTATTGGAGCTCCTTTGTGTTATTTGTTTCTTTTGTCTTGCTGCTTTTAGGATCCTTTCTTTATCCTTGACCTTTGGGAATTTAATTATTAAATGCCTTGAGGTACTTTTTGGGGGTTATCTGCTTAGTGTTCTATAACCTTCCTATACATGGATATTGATATCTTTCTCTAGGTTTTGGAAGCTCTCTGTTATTACCCCTTTCAACGGTTTTTCGACACCTACCTCTTTCTCTACCTGTTCTTTAGGGCCAATAACTTTTACATTTGCCCATTTTATGCTATTTTTTAGATCATTTCAGTTTCTAGAGCTTGCTTCATTTTTTTTTATTCTTATTTCTTTTGTCTCCTCCAACTGTGTATTCCCCTATAGCCTGTCTTCAAGCTCGCTAATTCCTTCTTTTGCTTGATCAATTCTGCTATTAAAGGACTTTGATGCATTCTTCAGTATGCTGATTGCATTTTTCAACTCCAGAATTTTTGCTTGATTTTAAAACCTTATTTCAATGACATTGTTAAATTTTTCTGGTATAATTCTGAATTCCTTCTCTGTGTAATCTTGAATTTCTTTTAGTTTCCTTAAAATAGCTATTTTAAATTATCTATCTAAAATGTCACATATCTCTGTTTCACCAAGATTGGTCCCTGGTACCTCATTTATTTCATTTGCTGAGGTCATATTTTCCTGGATAGTCTTGGTACTTATGAGTGTTCGTCTGTGACTGACCATTGAAGAGTTAGGTATTTATTGTAGTCTTCTCATTCTGAGCTTGTTTTTATCCATCCTTCTTGAGAAGGCTTTTTAGGTATTCAAAAGGACTTGGGTGTTGTCATCTAAGTCTGCTTTAGGGGGCACCCCAAGCCCCGTAATGCTGGGCTGTGCAGATTCATAGAGGCACTGCCTTGATGGTCTTTGACAAGATCCAGAAGAAATATCTGAATTACCAGGCAGAGACTCTTGTTCTCTTCCCTGACTTTCTCCCAAATAAATGAAGTCTTTGTTTTAAGCCACCTGAATCTGGATTAGTGGTGACACAAGCACTTCTGTGGCCACCATCATTGGGTATGTCCTATGTCAGACCTGAAGCCAGCAGAGCACTGGGTCCCATCCAAGGCTCACTGAAACCACTGCCTGGCTACCACCTATGTTTGCTGAAAGCACTGAGGTTCTACATTTAGTAGGTGGCAGTGCCAGCCAAGCTTGTGTCTTGCCCTTCATGGTAGCAAATTACCCCAGGCTCCTGGTGCACCCAGAGGTACCATCTGGAAAGCAGGGACTAGAGTCAGCATTAGCTGAGTTCAATCCGATTTTGCTTTCTGCTGTGACAGGGGAGCACTGGTTTCAATGAAGTGTCTCACAATTGCTGCACTCTCCCTCTCCCCAAAGCACTGATTCTCTCTCTGTGCCATGGGTCCGCTGCCAGGAGATAGTGGAGGAGTGGTGTTAGCAATTCAAGACTGTCTTTTCTGTCCTCTTCAATGCCTTTTTCAGTGATGTGAAGTCAAAACTAGGTGCTATAAGTGCTCACTTGATTTTTGATTCATACAAATTTGATTGTTTTGTGTAGATAGTTGTTAAATTGGTGTCCTTACAGGGACGGGGCAATCACTGCATCCTTCTATTCAGCCATCTTGCTCTGCTCCTTTTAAATTCTTTTTACTTGGACTGGACTCTTTACCAATCTTCAAAAAAGTATATAATAACCACCTGTCCTACTGTTCTTTCAAAATGTCAACTTTATTACATAATTCAATTTCTACTATAAACATATTTACATCTATCATTTTATTTTCTAATTATGGATGGGACAATGATTCATTCCTTTGTACCCACTTTTACTTCTGATTGTTGTGATCTATTCTTCATATCATATTATGAAATCTGTTTTTGGTAAAAACGCATTTTTTTTGTAACACTCCTGACAGGAACACTATCTTCCTATTCAGAACTTCTGTAATTCCTTGAGCTGAAAATATGTGTCCATGTCTCTTTCTCTTTACAATGGAAATACCTTGAGAACAGATACACATCCATCATTGTTTCTGCTTCATCCTTTAAAATAATATATGCTCATTTAACCCTGACCTCTCTATAGCAAGGTTAAAGTAATGTTTTATTAAAGCATATAGAATTTATTTATTGTAGGAGTTCATGTCTTCTCACTCCAAGTTAAAAATTAACCCCAGCTATAAAAATTATCACTTGTGGTCTTCTGTTCCTAAATAAAATGCGTATTAACTCTCTCAGCACCCAGAGCAGAGATGCCTATCAAGCAGCATATTTACCGAATAGTTGTTGCATTTAAATGAAGGTTTGCATTTCTAAACAATTTATTTCTGTCTCATTCTAACCTAATCATGTAATTAAATGTTTTTCTTTCCATTTTTGTTTCTGTAAAAACAGCTTAATCTTATCATATTGAAAAGGACAATGCCCCCAAATAAATAGCCTTCTTAGAGTTCTCAAACAGCGTGTGGGATTAAAAGATGAAAGTTCTTGGTTTCAAACATCTGACTTGCTTTTTCAGGGTCTAGATCTTGAAGATTCAGTGCTTGAATTCCTCAGACAGAAGTTCTTATTCAGAATGACTTGCTATTTCATTTCCATGTGTATGCTTTGAGGCCACTTGTCTAAAAAAGGATAATTTTTTTTGCCATTTGTAAAACTAAATCTTAGATAAGAGCCAAGAAAGATACATGCTGGGATTCATACCCTAAGGGAACCACAGTGGAAGAGTGAATGCCTGTGAATGCCTCTGAAAGCCAAAAGTTTGAGGAAAAGTTGTGAAGAGAGGAGCAGTCTTCATGGTGAGCCTAATAAAAATAAGAATTTAACTAAATTAGCAAAGCAATGACATTGATTTTCAAAATGTTCCCTAATAGAATCTAACACTGCACTGGCATATATGACAGAAGAAATACTATTTTAACCTTCGGTAATTTTATTAATTATAATTATGTAATGAAATATGCAGTCCTCATTGCAGTCACATTTTTCTTGAGGAGCTCAACTGCAAACTTCAACAAAGCTGCTGACCTTCAGTTCAGAAAAGATTGTGTGAATTTCATTATGAATAGTATTGAAAATGTTTGTCAGATGTAAATTGAAAGCAGCATCTATTTATAACACAAAAAAACTGATGCAACTTAGTAAGCTGAATGTTCTTTAAAAAGTAACTTTTGAAAGTGTTTTGTTTTGTTTAAATTATATTACAAGAGCTACCTTGGCATATAACAGCCTTGAGTCTATTCAGAGGATGGTTACAGGAGTTCAATAGAAACTGTCCAGTATGCACTCCACTATTAAAGCATTTACTATAAATACTGTGGCTGTATAACTCTGTGTGCCTATAACATTGTCTTGGAAATGAAGTTCTTGTTATTTAAATATATTTTTTTAAATGTTGACAATTATGTACTTAGAATAATGGAACTAACTTGTAATAATTAAAACATTGAAGTTATTATCTATGCTTTCTGGTGTTTGATAGATATGTTGTCCAGAAAAAGAAGTAAATTTGCATTGTTTTCTTGAGAAAACACTAGTTTCTGACCCTGTGTGATCCACTGTTGGCTCCAAATATAGTAATAGGACTCATCTCTTTAAGAGTATTCTAGATCAGTTTGAAATACAGTAGACACTCAAAAAACAAATGTTAAATTACTGAATGTTTCAAATTATAATGTATATTAATTTTATTTAGAATGTGGCAAATATATACATTAATTACTTACATTTTCTTTTACATTTTGTTTTCTGTATTCAAAAAGGAAATAGATATCTTGTGCAGTATCGCATATGCATCTTTTGGTATGACCCACACTATAAAACCACTGGGAAATAGCTTTAAAGGAGTTTTAGTAGCAGAACTTGGCATTTGGGGATCATATTTTGTGTTTAATAAGATGAACACAAGCCAAGATTTCAGGCAAACAATGAGTAAGAAATTTCCCTTCATTTTGGAAGTTTATTACAAATCCATTGAGCAGTCTAGAGTGTGTGGAATCGGAGGGCAAGGATCAAGAAAAATGGTTGAACAGCAAAACTTACGAATCTGGCTACTGATCCAAGTTTACCCTTAAGGGAAATGCCACAGTATCAAGCAAGAGTAAAATTACAAAGTTGACTACAATGGGTTTTGAAATATTTAAGGCAAAATGTAAATTTTAATTCAGAGGTCTAATTTTTTGGATTGTGAATACATTGACTGCATGTATGTTTATTATGTTGTAACTGAAGTTTTGTTTATACTGTCAAAAATAAAGAGGTTCTAAAAAAACAAACAAAGGAAATATAAAATATTATATTACTCAGTTTAAAAGTTCTAGAATAGGCTCCATTTTAGAATAAACCAGAATCAACAGGATTTCAGAAAGATTATTAAGTATATTTTTGTTTCTAGAGACTTAGAGATTGCTGATCAATAGAATTTCTGTTGCTATCCTTTCCCTAGACTCTCACAGCCACCTTCAAAGAAATAGCGCAGTTTTAATACATACTGAGCTTTTCAAAGAAATGAATTAAAAGTTGTACTATTTTAGATAATGTTATTCCAGGCTTTTTTGGGAATTGTACACTATTGTAGAAAATATCATCGATGACAGTGTTACTTGTTTATTAGTATACTTGTGAACTATTTACTTGTGCATTAGAGCTGCCAATTTAATACCAACACCAATATCAGTTTGCATTCATAATTTTTAAGTTCCAAGTGAGTCTGCTTATACATGAGCATCTGACTGCTCCATTGTCTTCTGAAGAATAGTAATGTTGAGCATTTATGTATTAAAACACAAATTGTTTTATTCTATCTTTATTTCATTTTATTTCTCTTTTTCATCAAAGTTAAAACATTGCATTAATTTTTTATGAGACCAAGAAGCTGTATTGTCTATGGATTTTATCTCAAGATGTAAAATTTTTAAAAAAGGTGTGTGTCTCTGATCAGGCTAAAAATCACTGGTATAGGAGATTCAAAAAAGGTCATATTAGCCTGTTTTATTTTCTATACTATTGTATAATCCCCCAAAGATCTAATTTACCAAATACATTGAATTTGCTGCAAGAAGTTAAACATTATTCAGATTATAATAGGTATAATAAATATTGAATGAATAACAAATGGATGCAATGCTCAAGGTTGCAGAAGGATAAATTTTGACCTGAAATTATGGAAATAAGGATTGGTGAATATGAGACCATTAGAAAGTGCATCAAAGTTTGAAAACTCCAAGAAATCACAATGATGACAAACAAAGGAAATGTGAGTTAAGGGGGCAAATAATGAGAGAAGTACTGAAAGTGGAAAGAGGGGTGAATTGGAATGCTAAAGATACATATGCTTGTGTATGTGTTGGTGGGAGTTTGCCCAAGTTTAGGAAAATTAAGGTGAGTTATGTTTTTATATCAATAATACTGGGATAAACAAATGATCTAAGCAAAAGAAAAAGAATTAGAAATATGGACTTCCATTACATTATATAATTCATATAATGACTATGAATTCACAACTAGTGTAATATCATGATTTTTTGTGTTGTTAAGAATTCCAGAAAACAGAGCTTGCTCTCAGCTTTTAATAGTAGCAGCCATTTTTTTTTCATCTGGTTTTTGTTTGATGGAAGAGAACAAGAGGTAATGATTTCCTTAAATATGTCAATGATATATCAGTAAACTGTTTTTAAAAAGAAACAATGATTTTCTAGGATACAACTTTTTTGCTTGGAGAATAAAGCGGTAAGATTTTTTAAAATATATGTTAGTGATACAGAAGAAGGTGCTGAAGCAAAACTGTTATGGATATTATGCTGAGTTCCAGATAAAATAAAAGAGTTCAGATTCCAGCTAAGGCTTGATTTTAGAACAGAATACTTCATGACTAATGGCCTTTCATTTATCAAAGAACTGGGACGTTAGATGTTAGCAGAACATATAGCAGAAGCTTCAGATAGGCTACATGATTAAAATTATTCTAGTGTATCCAGACACATGATTGATGAAAATGGATATTTTAAAGAATAAAATTGTTTGTAAGTTTCATTTCCTTATAAATCAACTGCTATTATAGGACATAATGTGTGATCATTTAGTTTACTTATGTTAATAAACTCTCATTTTGTTATGAATGAACGTTAAGAGTGGGAGAAACTCAAATGTATACATGCTTACATGCAATTGTTTAATCTGCTGATCTGCAATATGGAAGCAAATAATGTGAGAAAATGTACAGCTTCTAAGATAGCCAAACAGCAGTAAAACCTATCATTCATTCGCTAATATCTACAGTGTAGAATGGGTTTCACGCACTACATCTCACATATTTCTAATAAGTTGGAACTCACTCATCTATTTGGATCTATATGCTATGTTGTTTATTTTTTGTTACAAACCAAGTTGTTATGAAATGTTTATACCTGAACAAAAACTCCAGAGTCTTTGAATATTATATCTAAGCAATTGAAATGATTTATGGAAAGACTCAAACTGCAAAATGAACACATCAACATAAGTACTTACGTACATATCAATATGTACTTATAACATTCCATCATAGTCACAGAAAAGCTAGTTTCTGTATACAGTTGTCTCTTGGTATCTGCAGGGGATTGGTTCCAGGACCCCTGTGGGTGCAAAAGTCTGTGATGTTCAAGTCCTTTACACAAAATGAAATAGTATTTGTATATAATCTATTCACATCTTTCTGTATATTTCAAGTTATGTCTAGGGTACTTCTATGTCTAATACAAGGTAAATATTATGGAAATTGTTGTTATACTGTATCATTTTATTTGTTATTTTTTATTGTTGTATTGATATTTTTCTCATTTTTTGACTTGCATATTTTCAATCTCCCATTGATTGAATCCATCAATACGTAACTCACAGATACAGAGGGCTGAATGTACATTTCTAATACAGTTTTTAGTTGTGTATATATGTTTTTATTCAAAAGTTTATTGAGTTTTTCTCTGCTAATAATGTCCTCGTATGATCGCCCAGTGAAAGTATAAAAGTTTCTGAATTGAATTGAACTGTCCATATATCCTATATATTCTCTAGCTTTGACTTTTTGGACTGTTATTACTTTCTTTCACTATTTACAAAGCCCCTCTCCACCACCACTACCTTTACACCATTTCTGGGTTTTAAGAATTAGATATTCTTCTTCTCTGCAAAGAAATAGACCATTAAATGTATATTAGTTAACTTACTGGAGCTTAAAACTCTGCAAGATGACAATATCTTCCAGTGCATATTCCTTTCCTCATAAGCTCAATTATCTAGAAAAATAAAATGCCTAACACAGATTCTGGGCATATGATCGATTACCTTATGTTGCATTTGATTTTTCCCCTCACTCTTTAGTTGATGCCTCAATAATTTGGATGATTTCGTTATAAGACATGGCAATTTCATTCCTAAATCTGAGCTTCTCAAAATTTTTCCCCTAGCCCCTGAACCATCTTAAATGCATAAAGCTATGGTGCTATGACATTGAAATACTAGTCAGAGAATAGTATTAATAGTTAGGCTAACACAATAAGGAAAAAGAAATTGAACTGAAATGAATTTAAAAACCAGAGAAGAATGGAAAAAGAACAGGAGTGTGATATTTCCTGGCTTGAGTTTTCATAGATTTTCATTTTGGATAAGACTACCACAGGGGCACCGATTTTTTTCTGTAATACAAAGCTATATAACATACACACACAGGCACACACACACACACACACATATATACATACATATATATATATATATATATATATGATGAGAATAGCTAATTCTCAAAACCCAGAAATGGTGTAAAGGTAGTGGTGGAGGAGAGGGGCTTAGTAAATAGAGGAAGAAAGAAATAATAGTTCAAAAAGTCAAAGCTAGAGAAAATATATATGAAGTTAGGTATGCAAGTCTGGATCAGTTTCTCACTAATTACCAGGAGAGATTTCACTTAGCCCTGAGCCAAGCTGCAAAAGCTACCTACATGAATCTCTTCATAATGACATTATACATTGAAAAAAATAAAACACTATTCCTCCTCCATTTCTCTTCTCTGTGTTCCTTCTATCTTACACTTACTACCTCTATATCTAAACCTACTCAGAAATTGTGAAAATTCTCTTTTCAGAAATAAACAAATAAATGGTAGCTGTAGGTTAGTCTTTATTGCTGTGTTGGAAATCTTTCCAATTCAGAAACCAGAAGACTTTTCATGCTTTTGAGTTTAAAAATTGGACAGCACTTTAGTAACAAGTGGAAAAGACAATAGAGGACACCCTAGCCCAACTTTCCATCTTGTTAAGAGTCCTGTTTGGTTTGGACTGGAAAACGTAAAGCTCCTAGATTCTTACTTTTCTTGGATACTCATGTAATGCATACTCTTCTCAAGCACTAAAGAACAGAAAAGTAGTCATTGAGAGACCCTTCTCCATAGAAGAATAAAATGAATGGTTTTTGTCTAAGAGTCAGCAGCATGAAGACTTTCCCATGCATCATGGTACATTGTTGTCTGAACCTCACATATCTGTAGTAACAGGTCTTCAAACAAGTCACAGGCACAGTTATATAATCTTAAAAAGTGTCCTTCAAATGCAGCCTCTGTCCCTGGCCTTCACATTTCCTTCACATAGTTGGTGGGGAGTTGATTTATTAATGAGGTATGTTGTCCCAGAAACTTGTAACCTCTTTGTACTAAAAGAATTATTTAATCTTTCCCCTCAATTGATGGGGTGTGCAAATGTTAAGCTTGGGTTAAATAATGCCATTAGCATATGACACTGACACAGACATGTTTTATAACCCCTGATGTAGCTCATAAGCCCATGAGTGATCTATAGCAAAGCAGTAAATAAGGTTTACATGATGTCTTTGAATAGGTCACCACATAGTCAGAGAATGACAAATGAAGATGAGCCATAACCTAGTTAGCACCCAGAAATGATCCTCAGCAAGGCTAATTCATCTGGTCACAGACAAATAACAGATTTTTCTTCTACTCACTTCTCAAATGCTGACATTTTTATCTTAAATGTGAAAGGTTATTAGATTGAATTTTAGGAAGTGAAGAAGAGACATTCAGTAAAAAAAAAAAAAAAAAAAAAGGATAGCCTGAAATATGTTGCATGCTGAATACATTACTGATTTGGCCGCCTTCTGCCAGTCTACATCTCATTAATTCCAGATGTGCATTTTATATATAGTAATAACACTTGACTGATTAGATCTAAAAGGATAATCCTAAACACAACCAAGCATATTGCTTTCTACAGATAGTTTAGATATAGGTTTCATTTTCAAAGGCATTTCTTAAAATTATCATATTATTTTCAAAATTCATTTTAGTCAAGCTGTAATTTTTAAAAATTACCAAAATGGGAAAAATGCTTATAAATCTTGATTTATTCAGATTTGTCACTAAATATTACATACAAACAAAAAATTATACATACATAGTGGTATATGTATATATGTGCTAGATTTGATTAGAAAACTAACATGATTAAAAACAGATAATCGACTTAAAACTTCCCCAAAGCTACTCTTTTCCATAGAGAAATGAAATAAATACGGTAAATAACAAAATGAAATAGACTTGTTCTGTTGTTCGCAGTGTTTTTTTTAATGTGAAGCTCTACATAAAGTCAATGTTTTACCTTACAACATGTGCATTATGCTAATTGCTATATAATAGTGTGACACCTAGCTAAAATATTTGTTATTTATGTACTATATATATTACTCCAAGTGAATTCTTCTAGATTAGTTCAGCATTATTAAACCACTTAATCTGATTCGGACTAATTAGAACAAAGAACTCTTTAAGAAGCATCTGAGATAATATAGTCAGAAATAGTTTTGTAATATTTAAATGTAAATCATATTGGGTAATAAAAGGGAAAATGAGAAAAATTCATCAATTTTTAATAAAGAACTATAGATAATCTGGTAATTTTTAAGATAATTATCTTGATTAGCTCCGTAGTATATAATAAGAACAGCATGATATACTAGAAAAAATAGAGTCATGGATCAAATAGTTCTGAGTCAGAATTCCAGCATCAAATATTAGCATTTTGATAAATAATTTCTTTCCTGCTCTAAAACTCAGGGTCACTATTTGTAAAAACAAACCTAGAATTATGATGAACATTACATAGATATTAAATGTAAAAGATTTTACAGAGACTTGCTTCAGCAATGATAGAAATACTGCAGCTTTGCTATACCTATTATAATTATGTGTCCTCTTAGAAATACACCTTTTTCCACACAATTCAGTTGAAATAGGTTCTTAGTCTACCCATTCACAAAAATACTACATTTATACCAAATTATTTTTGAAAAAGTATTATGACTAAATAATTAGGCATAGAAATAACACATAATATTCATATAAATGATAAGAAATTGCAATAATTGATACTGACCCATAATAGATATAATGGTATAGATAACACATTTTCAAATATATTTTCACATCATTTATTTATTTGCTCACTTGCATGGAGTTCAAAAAGTAGACATATACATTGAAAACCATCACTATTTACATTTAAGCATAGATAATTCCAGATTTGCCTTTTCTTTGTATGTGTCTATGTGTGTGTATGTACATGCATACATCATATATATGTACCTGCATGCACCTATCTATGTAAATGTACATACATTTTGGATTACATAGAGTATGTTCTGTTATCTGCTATTAATACATGACTAATATGTTTCCATGTAACCAGCTGAATATTATTATAAAATATGTAGAGTTTAAACAAGTTTCTTGAAGATAATCTGACTCCAGGTTGGAAAATACTCATATTCCCTTACCTACCAGAATGAATATTAGCTATGGTTGACAATTAGTATCAGTTTGGGGAAACTGAATTTTTTTAAAAAAATTATATGTATTACTCAAGTAAAAGATTGTCAAGACAAGATGTCCTGAAGAATAAGGAGATGTTTTTATTAAGGCAATTGCAATAGAGAAAATGTTCATTACTAAGTGACAACTCAAAAAAAAGGGGGGAAATCTGAGGAAGACTGGAGGCAGTCTTATCTAAGTCAGAAGGTAAAGGGTGAAAGTGGGTTTTAATACAGTCCAGCTGGTTCTGGAGCATAAAAAGGTGGAGAGATGTCTTAACCATCACTCTTTTCCCAAAGTATGGGACTTAACTAAAATTACACATTGTTAAGCCTTATAAACATAGGCATAATAAGGAAGAACCTGTACATTTGTGGCAATGACAATAGCTAATCTGGATGATTTGGGTCAAAATAGGTGTTTTTCTTAATTCAGCACTAATAGTATAGGGAATCCGTTAATATCAACTGCATTCATAGCCCAACTCACAACTACAATGCATCGACACAAAGGTAGCCAGAGCTCGACTAAGAGGTACAAGTCTTGTTATTGAGAGAAAGGACTAGCTGGATTTCCTAGGCCGACTAAGAATCCCTAAGCCTAGCTGGCAAGGTGACTGCATCCACCTTTAAAAACGGGGCTTGCAACTGAGCTCACACCCAACCAATCAGAGAGCTCACTAAAATGCTAATTAGGCAAAAACAGGAGTAAAGAAATAGCCAATCATCTATTGCCTGAGAGCACAGCGGGAGGGACAAGGATCGGGATATAAACCCAGGCATTTGATCCGGCAATGGCAACCCCCTTTGGGTCCCCTCCTTGTATGGGAACTCTGTTTTCACTCTATTTCACTCTATTAAATCTTGCAACTGTGCTCTTCTGGTCCGTGTTTGTAATGGCTCGAGCTGAGCTTTCACTTGCTGTCCACCACTGCTGTTTTGTCGCCATTGCAGACCCACCGCTGACTTCCATCCCTCCGGATCCAGCAGAGTGTGGGCTGGGCTCCTGATCCAGTGAGGCGCCCATTGCCGTTCCGATTGGGCTAAAGGCTTGCCATCGTTCCTGCATGGCTAAGTGCCTGGGTTCATCCTAATCGAGCTGAACACTAGTCACTGGGTTCCACGGTTGTCTTCCATGACCCACGACTTCTAATAGAGCTATAACACTCACCAAATGGCCCAAGATTCCATTCCTTGGAATCCGTGAGGCCAAGAACCCCAGGTCAGAGAACACGAGGCTTGCCACCTTTTTGGAAGTGGCCCACACCATCTTGGGAGCTCTGGGAGCAAGGACCCCCGGTAACATTATCATTTAAACTTCAAATCTATAGCATTAATCTCTCCAATAGGATAGCAAAATTTAGTGCCAATTTCTAAATTTCTATTCCTGTGTAATATTTCAAAGGAATTACAGAGAGGTAATTCAAGTAAATACATGAGTCTATACAGCGGTTTTGACCCAGTGTCCCCTGACTCTGCATGTCACCCTGCTTTTCTATGGATTACTGACCAGACCACTCCCAGTTTTGGTCCCACATTTGTGAAACTACAATTAAACTTTCCAATCTTTTGCTACCATTGTGACCACTTGTCACAAACACAGAACTTGGTCTCAATTTATTTCTATGGATCTAAATATACTGAAACATTTAACAAGTTCATACTGAATCTTAGGGGGAAGTAAAATAGCATTACACTGGGGAGTAACTTCAAAGTGTTGGACTGAGGCTATTTCCTCTTTACTGAAGCTACCTCCATTACATTTCTGATTCCTTTGGTGGTGGTAAATAGCTTGAGAACCTATTCCAATATGTGTCTGTTTCTATTTCTTGCTTTCTGATCAAACTTCTCAAGCAAATTTGCCTGCAAAAGAATGTCATATGAAGTGTTTCTTTTTCAAAAACAACACTCAGCTTTCAATAGATGTTTCAAACAAACCAGGTGAGGCACATTTAAAGCGGGCTAATTACTCCGACATAGTCCATATAGGATCCAAATGGCTCAACTTTCTCCATTCCAAGGGCACCTTAGTCTGTTTTTGTGCTGCTATAAGAATACCTGAGGCTGGGTAATTTATAAAGAAAAGAGGTTTTTTTGTCTCACAGTTCTGAAGATTTCACAAGAAGCATGACACTGGCATCTGCGTCTGGAGAGGGCTTCAGGCTGTTTCCACTCATATGGAAGGTTAAGGGGAGCTAGTGTGCAGAGATCACATGGCAAGAGAGGAAGCAAGAGAGAGGGAGGAGATGCCAGGCTATTTTTAAAAATCAGCTCTTGCAGGAACTCATAGAGCAAGAACTCACTCACCCCCAGAGAGGGCATTAATCTGTTTATAAGGGATCTGCCCCCATAACCCAAATACATCCATTATGCCCCACCTCCAACATCAGGGATCAAATTTCAACATGAGTTTTGGAGAGGTAAAATCTAAACCACAGCAAAGAGTTATACAAAACTACAGCAATTACGATATGAAAAGGTACGTGGTATGGTATCACAACCCTTAAATCTCAGTGCCTTAGCATATAATTTAATGCCTCACTTAAAACACTTGTTCTTTGTCATCACCTAAGGATTCTGTTGTACATCATCCTCATCGTGTGACCCAGACTGATGGAATTGTCATCAACTAGAACAATGTTAATTCCCAGAGAGAAAGAACGAAAAATCTAAAATTTTTATACAGAAGAGAACCACATTAATTCTGCTCAAACTGTATTATCTAAACCAAATCATAATGCTCCACTAATGTGAAGGGGTCTGTCAAAGGAAAGATGGCACAGAGCCAATTAAACAGGCAAAGGAGACTTTATTCGTGACAATTGCAATGAAGAAAGAAGCCAGATTCAGTCTGAGCTCAACTCCACTTAAACAAAAGGTTAAAGGGGTTTTCTTTAAGAGTAGGGTAGAGGAACATTAGGCCACCTGTGTTTACTAACTGGCTTTATCCAAAGGAAAAGTAAACTTTTTCTGATCTTCTTGGCGGGAGACAGTTTTACACATTGCAGCAAGGCACCTGCCCAAGATAGAAGTTAATGCTCCTACCTTTCCATAGAAACTGAGACATAGAGGAACTATCTTCCTTAATGATTGCATTTGAAAGGAACAGATGCTAGGTCCTGGAGAAAGCTATTCCTGCCTTGTAAAATGCAAGAAGCTTAAAAAAACAGACTTGCATTTCAGAGGGGAAGAGATACAAATCTTTTTTCCACAATGAAAAGTTATCTAAAATATGTGTTCTAAGAAAAGGGAGGGCAGGACCCTAGAGGCAGGAAAAAGCCTGTATGAAGTTTATTCAAGCTGAGAATGTCTTAGGTCAGGGAGCTTGCATTCCTAATGTGGGTCTGAGAGGGTTTCTGGATCTTTTAGGTGGACAACATCAGACGCTACGGCCAACACAAAACATTTTTACTCTTAGTTGGTGACTCACCTGCAGTGTGGGCTTATATTGAGCCTCTTTTAAATTTCCATGGCAGAGCTTCTGTTGGCTTCAATGGTAATAAAACCACTAAAAGAAGGATATCTTACCCATATGGAACTCTAACCAGCTTCACCTAACCACTGGCAGAATGTGGGTGAGTCCATCCTCTACCAGTTGCATGTAGTGTAGAATTCTTGTTGACTTTGACCTGGAGTAACCTGGCTCTGTGTTACTAATACTCAGCTCAAAGCCAGTCAGTGAAGGTATATCTCTTTCTGAAAGAAACAATTCATAGACTCCAATTTAAGAACTCGGGGGAACAGACCCACCAATGCAAAACAATACAGACAAATACCTCAGTTATGATGACAGAGGGAACCCCTGGAATTATTTATGCCAGATTCTCTGCTGATGTCACCACCCCTTCCTGGACAGTTTTAATCCAAATTCAGTATGCCACTTTTAATAATTTTGTGCTTAATAAGAAAAAACAGACCCTAATTTTCATTTTTAACCCCAAAGATCCTAGCAAGGGAGAAGGCATTAGGCCTACTAAGGGTGCTAAAGGCTAATTAAGAATTTGTTAGCTCAGTTTATGCTTAGGCAAACCTGCAAGCGTAAGACTAGGGATTGTTGACCACATGATAAAACCTGCTGAAAAGTGCTAAGGAATCAGCCAGCTGCAGCAACGGTGGCAGCTCACTCTGAACTGGTAGGACATCTGTCATTTAGCCTCAGGGATGTCTGGTGTTCTCAACGAGAGACCTAAATTTCCTCCCTGGGATCTCCATTGGCAAGTCCCATATATTACTTGTTGGTAACATTTAATGAAACCCATCTCTGCAAATAGGATGGGAATGGGACGGGATGTGTCATGCCATGTAATTCTCTGAGGTCACTCACCTTTCATAGTCTTTCCAAAATTAGAGAATGACCTAATACAGCTAGAGATATTAGTAACTCTGGAGGTACAATCACTCTGATATATTTAAGATTGTGATTAGGTCTTTAGCCTTATTACCTTCTTAGGGGTTATTACTCCTTTAAGGGAAATTTTTATTGCATATATTCTCTTAATATACAGTACCACATAAGGTTAAGTTAAAAAACAAAACAGGAGCTTTATGGTCAAGAAAGTGGTCAGTAATTATTATAACTGTTGCCTGGTGGTTTTAAAAGGAAACTTGGCATATCAGTCAAGCTTCTTTAGGTGAGCAACAGAAAGATATTTTTGCCTTTCAAAAAGTATACTAATAAAATTTATCTTATTCTTATTAACAGTATTAAAGTTTCTATTGCACATTGAATAGAATAGATAGAGCCATAGCTCACTTAACAACTGGGATATGATCTGATAAATGTGTTAGGTGATTTCATTGTTTTGCAAAGATCATAAAGGGTACTCAAACCTATGTGTAGCCTACTACACACCCTGGCTATATGGTAAAGCCTAGTGTCTCTAGGATCTAAATATTTATAGCATGTCACCGTACTGAATATAGTATGCAGCTATAACACAATTACACCAGGTATTTATGTATATGCATATTTGTGTATCTAAATATAGAAAAGATGCAGTAAAAATATAGAATCATAATTTTATGGGACTACTGTCATATATGGGGTCCATTGTTGATAGAAATGTCATTGCGTGTACATGAACGTACATCCATTGAATGCACAAATACTCAGCTGAATTGGATAACTACATCTATCTCTAACTTTGTCTCTAATTAAGCAAACTATGGCATGTTCACCACTAAAGTTTAATGCTGCTAATCTGATGCTTTTCTCTTTTTGATAATAGTCAATCTAATAGGTATGAGGTGATATCTTTTTGTCATTTTAATTTGCGTTTCTCTAATTTACATAGCATCAAAAAATACTTAGGAGCAAGATGACATGAATTAGAAAAACATCATGTGTTCATGGAATAGAAGAATTAATATTGTTAAAAGTTCCACAATACGCAAAGCAATATATAGATTCCATGCAATGCCTATAAAAATTTCAACATCATTCTTCCCAGAAATAGAAAAAAAATTCTAAAATGTATATTCTAAAACAATTCCAAAACCACAAGAAAACCCTGAATATTCAAAGAAACCTTGACCAAAAAGAACAAAGCTGGAGGCATTAAACTACCAGATTTCAAAATACATTATGAAGCTATAGTAATCAAAACATGACACTGGCATAAAAACAGACACATCAACTATATTAGTTAATTTTATGTTGCTTATAATAGAATACCATTAACAGAAATTTATTTAAAAAGGAGTTTATTTCTTACAGTTCTGGAAGCTTAGAAGTATAAGGTTATATAACATTGTCTAATGAGAGCATTTTTTGCTGGTGGGGATTATCTATGGGGTCCCGAGGTGGTGCAGAGTATCTCATGGCAAGGAGGCTGAGTATGCTAATGTGCTCTCCTCAGATCTCTCTTCCTCTTATAAAGCCACCAGTTTCACTTCCATGGTAACCCATTAATCCATGAATGGATCAATTCATTCATGAAGGCGGAGTCCACATAATCCTATTACCTCTTAAAGTCCTCCTCTTCTCAATTTTGTCACATTGAGGATTACATTTCAACATGAATTTTGGAGGAGAAAAATATTCAAGCCACAGCATCAACCAATGGAATAAGATAGAGAGCCCAGAAAAAAACTATACATCTACAGTCAAATGATTTTGGATCAAGCTGCCAAGAATACACAATGAGAAAAGAACAGTCCCTTCAATAAATGAAGTTGGGAAAACTGGAAATTCACAAACAGAAGAATAAAAATGGACCCTTATCTTACCTCTTATATAAGAATCAACTCAAAATGAATTAAAGATTTAACTGTATGACTTGGAACTGTAAAACTTCTAGTAGTTTTACAGTTTAGGGTCTTACGTACAGATAAAAGGCTCCTGTAAACTACTAGAAGTTTTACAGTTTCAGGTCTTACGTATAGGGAAAAGGCTCCATGACATTGGTGTAGGTGGACATTTCTTGACTGTGAACCAGCCATTGGTTTCCGATACACGTCTAGTCTTCATCTTCCACTGACTGCTACAGATTAACTTATAATGCAGCCACAGAGTTAACATCTTTGCACCACTGTTTTATTTCATGGCAATGAATTACATGCTTCCATGAAGAGGTCCAAATGCCCCGTCATGAACTGTAATTGTTTATCTAGGCCTCTAGATAATGGTCTAGACACTTGTGCTCATCCTCCTTGTCAAATGTAAGACTTACTTTAAATGACAGTCCAAAGAGCAAAAAGCACTTTATTCCATAGAAAGTATGGCAAAAGTAGCCCTCAGGACTGTCAAAAAAGAAGCAAAAGCCCACTATTGTACCTTAAGTTTAATAATGTAGTTTCATTAAAAAAAAATCGCTGTTAGCTGGGTGCAGTGGCTTACACCTGTAATCCTAGCAATTTTGGAAGACCAAGGTGGGTGGATCTCTTGAGGCCAGGAGTTCGAGACCAGCCTGACCAACATGGTAAAACCCCGTTTCTACTAAAAATGCAAAAATTAACCAGATGTTATAGTGTGTGCCTGTAGTCTCAGCTACTCAGGAGGCTGAGGCAGGACCATTGACCTAACATCAGTGAGAACATTCTACCAACATGATATTCCTTTTTATAATAGACAAGAAAGATTCAATGCTCCTTGATGTGACCTACCTGTGGGCTACTAACACAATGTCTATGAGTGCTTATAGAAAAATACAGAATATTCGTCTCTCAAAATAGCTAACAAACCATTTGGAATAAACAAATAATTCAGAAGTTTCAAGATAAAATGTCAACATATTAAAATTTATCATCTAAACCAGTAGCTACTAACTAAAATATTTAACTGAAAATAATAATTTTAGTTAGCAGCCTACTGTGTAGACAAACGTGAATTTCTCCAATTTTAATTCTAATTAATTATAATTTCATTTTGTACTTCAAAGGCAAAAGGGTTCTTTTGCGTTCCATTTCCTAGAAAAACTAAAATATTCCGCAACAAAAGTATATTGAGGATTCCACTTTCTGCAAATCAAAGTTTCCATCTGCTCTTCAATGATAGTGGTCTTCGGTATCTATAATTCCTATTAAGGGTTTAAAAATCAAAAAGGCAAAATGTTCATGCTGAAATTCAGTGAGATCCCTGGTTTAAACTAACATACATTCCTGTACTTTAAAATCCTTTCAGAAATCTCCAGCCAGTGAAACAGGTAGGAGAATTCAACACTGAGATTGGGAAAACAGAGCACATTAGGAAGTCAGTAGTACTCTTTGGGTGTTCTGCTTACAGAGACATAGTAGGATTGTATGTTTTGTTTGTTTGTTTGTTTGTTTGTTTGTTTTTTTGTGAGACAGGGTCTTGCTCTATTGCCCAGGCTGGAGTGCAGTGGCCCGATCTCTGCTCACTGCAACCTCTGCCTTCCAGGCTAAAGCAATCCTCCCACCTCGGCATCCCAAGGAACTGGGACTGCAGGTATATGCCACAGTGCCAGGTTTTTTGTTTTTATTTTTTTGTATTTTTGAAGAGATAGGGTTCTCCATGTTGCCCAGCCTGGAGGTCTTCTCTTCTTGAAGTTAAATGTGATTATGTAACTTGCTTTGGGCAATGAAATATAAGAGGAATTTATGCCTATCATAAATTCACCATGCACGATTCATTGCTCTCTCTGTTTTGGCCTTGTAAACTGTAGGGATGTAACTCAAGAAGGAGCCTCCATCAGCTTCAATTCCTCTATGACTATGATTAGCAGAGAAACATGCCTAGGGTTGCCAGATGTAGCAAAAATCTAACATACCCAGTTATATTTAAATTTCATGGAAACAAACTAATATGTTTTATTATAAATATTTCCTATGCAATATCTGGGACAAACTGAAGCCAAAAATATACTCATTGTTTATCTGAAATTCAAACTTAGCTACAGAGCCTATACTTTATCTGATAACTATCCTTCTAGTCTCACCGTCATCCCCATACATGTAGATTTTGTAAAAATAAATAAATGTATGTATTGAGTTCAGCCATTGAGATTTATGCTGTTGTATTTTACCTAGTCTATTTTACCAAATACATTGCTCTATTAGTTGTCTTTCTTCATGAGTTACTAAATTTTGTGTGTGTGTAGCTGATTACTTTTCTTACAAATTCGTATAAAATCTTTGCTCATCTTTTGAAAATAGAATTTAAAGTTTTCTATTAAATGGAAAAAAATGGAAAGTCCCATGCCTTTTACTTCTCAGAAGGTGCCTATGGGCTTCCATTTCAGTAAAAATAATGGCTTTGCAGATGGAAGAAATGATATTTCTAATCTGTGGATGACAAATGGATACTGAAAAAAAATTAATGAGAGTCATTTAGGTCTTCTGGGGAAGGAAATAGGATTCACAAAAAATAGTAGCAACAACAATAGCTTCAGATAGAATAAAGAGAAAGAGATCAAGTCCGGAACTTGCCCAAGTATACCTTAAGTATATATTGAATCAATAGAAAAGACTGGCTCACCCAAAAGAAACAATTAGAACTACCAGTATTTGATTAAACTCAATGCTCTAATCTGGTAATACCATATCTCATGCCTACAGATTTCAAACATACAAGACAAACAATGGCATCTTATCCTCACTTGTATTATTTTGTATTTCTGACACTAAAGAATTTTAAGATATGATTTCATTTAACTGCTTTGCATGTATTTGGGAAGCAAAGATCCTGCTGTATATCTGATACATGGAGCAATTTGGCCTCTGATAATTTTTTCCCATTTAATAGAGACAACATTTTCGTTTCTTCCACCCACAATAAATTATTTCCTCCTTCTGCAAAAGTAAACAGCACACTCCAGTGGAGAGAAATATTTAAGGCTTTACCAAAATATTGCAGATCTTTTTAAAAATGTGAAACAAGAAGTTCTCAAGAGTCAGATAGATTCTTAGTAATTACTGAATTCCATCACCTGGTCCCGAAAACTTATACTAAATTATAGTGTTTTTGAAAATTGTGATGGTTTGCCGGGTGCGGTGGCCCATGCCTGTAATCCCAGCATTTTCAGAGGCCGAGGCAGGTGGATCACTTGAGGTCAGAAGTGTGAGACCAGCCTGGCCAACATGGTGAAACCCCCTCTCTACTAAAAATACAAAAGTTAGCCAGGCATGGTGGTACATGCCTGTAATCCCAGCTACTCAGAAAGCCGAGGCATGAGAATCGCTTGAACCCGGGTGGTGGAGGCTGCAGTGAGTCGAGATTGCTCCACTGCACTCCAGCTTGGGTGACAGAGCAAGACTCCATCTAAAAAAAGAAAAAAAAAACCGTGATGTTTGATAGTTGTAGCCTATTATGCTTTTATGCATATTAGAACTTTGGAAGAGTTTTGTATCAAAAGCTGCTAGGTATATATACAACTATCTATCTTACTCCAGAATCTTGACTGGTGCTGTCTTAACTCTTGTTATAGGTCCACATCAGAGGAAGCAAAACCAAAAGATATTTTCTCCTTAAACGAGAATCATGTGTTCCATTTTCCTACCCCCACTGTTTTGCTGTCAGTGTACCCATGTCTGTACATCTAAACTCAATACACAGAAGTGATTGTATTTTTTTATATAAAAGGAAGAAAGAAAATACTTGTCATTAAGCCTCATAATTTCCCAAGTAATTTATTGAAAGAAAGGACAAAGATGCAATTCATTATTGGTATCTATTTACCCCAGGTATGAGCATATCAATTTCTCCATATTCTGAAAACGGTAAATGTGTTTTTATTTTGTTATCAAGGAAACTATCAGGATATCCAAGATTTCTTTATCTGGGGTATTTTTGTTTGTTTGTTTTCTCTCTTTTTGGTATAAAAGCAGATTCTTAAGTGAATTTCTTCAGAAAACTTCCTTTGGTATTTCTCAATTTTGACTGGGAATACTTAGTTTTTGTTCACTCTAGACAATTTGAGAGAACAAAAATCAGCACATTTTCAACTTCCAGATGTAACTATTTTATTATATTTATATTTATTCTGTGTTTTAAAAAAACAAAACAAAAAGTCATGAGAATATTATAAAGTGCATGTCATTTTACAGCCTGCTTTTGCACTTAACAAAGAATTATGAGTATGTTTCCTATATGTATGTGTTTTCTACAATGTGCTTCTTGGTGGCTGATTTCCATTTTGTGGAGAAACTATAACATTTCACACTGCAGGATATTTACAGAGTTGCCAAGTTAATGAAATCAGCTAATTAGCTAAAGATATTCTTGTAAAGAAACCCTTTTGGGTGCATACTTATAAGGACCAAAACAAAGAAATTCAATAGCTTTATCTATGGGCACGCATAGTTTAAGGTTTTGATTCATATTCCATATTAACTTCTAAGAGGTTTTTACCTAATTTAAAATGAGGGTATCCATTTATCCCCAGTGCCTGCAAAACCGGTTTTTTAACTTTCCATTTCATCTTTGTTGATAGGTTATGGTAAAATTTATTCAATGTAATTTCAAATGTTTGATCATTTGTGAGGATGAAAAATTTTATGTTTATGTGCAACTTGTATTTGTTTTCAGAATTACCTAAGTATCCCTTTGCTATTTTCCTTATTGGTTGGTAAGAATTTTTTTTCGTATGTTGAGAATATTAATACTTTTTTCTCATATGCTATACATTATTTTCAATTTATTACTTACACATTATTTCTATTTATGGTGTTTTTATTTACACTATTTTAATATACATAATTCATCAAAGTGGTAACAAGTCAAGTAATTGGATAAAATCTAATGATTAAACAAGATTTTGATTCTGATTTTTACCACCCTAGCACTACATAAACTTAATTTATTTATCAGGTTTAGATGATAACTAATGTTGTCCCACTATGCTTTGTGGCAGTTTAGATCATATATTTTCTCTTTTCTTCTGCCCTTCTCTTCTTAATGATTATTATATTACTATTTTTGTTTCCTCCATTGTTGACCTTTGTTCCTTCAAATAATCACCTTTCTACTTCTGTTTATGTTTCCGTCCACTTTTATTCACTATCTAAACTCCCCTCCAGGTCAAATGAGAATATTAGGAATCTTATGCTTTATTCCATTTATTACTGCCCTTTTATCTCCTACCTTCTGACAACTACATTCTTACTTTCACAAATTTATCAAGAACGTTGGCCTACACATGTGTTGTTTAATCTTGTATTTTACAATCACAATTGTGTCTTCCATGCTTCCATGGAAACCAATAAGCAGCATCTGTATTATTTTACCTATGGATAGGCATAATTGAAAACCTACAATGCCCAGCCAAACATTGTGCTAAGAACATTTCCATCATCCTGGATACTTCTGGGTATAGAAGGTTTGCAGTATCAAGGTCATGATTTTACTGGCTGAAAACTATGCTACTTAAAAAAAAAATTGTTTGTTTAAATTTGTATTGTAACTTTTTATATAGACTTTGTGTTTCCTGGCATTTCTATTGTTTTTCAAGTTAAATAAAGAATTAGATGTTTTTGCAATATCTGATGTGTTATTTCTGTCTTATCAGTCATAACATATGCTATGTTGAATAAGTTCTTCCTTAATGACTTCTCTGGAATAGCTTTCCATTATTGGCTGCAATTCAAACTAATTGTTCTTTAGACTTACCATAGTGCTGCTGTTAGGAGTATTCCCTTCATTGCTTTTTCAAACTGTGTCAACTTTTTCCTAAATCATGTATCTTTCTCATTTAAAAATATATATATTAAGATATATATATATACATCTTATTCTGTCATTTATTTTAAATTGACTTCCATTATTGCCACATTAGTTGAAAATATATACTCTGAAAGAAGGCTATACCACACTTACTAGCTATATGACCATAGACAATTTTCTCTCTCTTTTTTCTTTTTGGTATATAAAAGGGGGTTTCTAGTTTTTAGCAATACCATTTCATATGGTTGTAATGAGAATTAAGTATGCTAATACATATACTTAAAGGAGTATGTGGCACGGCAATATTTTTCACATAAGAATTTATTGAATAGATTTTGAAATAAAATATTATTCCTCATAGCATTAAATAGAATATCAGAAATACTTTCTCAAATGATAATGATAAAGTTGCTCTTCCTTTCCTCAACTCTTGTAGAAATGCTTCAATTGAGTTTTCAGAAGATTTGATGCTGATATTGCTTCAAAATAAATATATATTATTCTATTAAAAAGTATTCAATTTATACTGAGCCTCTTTTAAATCAGACATGCTTGTCAAACTGAAGCAAATATATTTTGACATTTATGAAGATGATCATTTTTCCTAAAACTATAAAACTAACATTAATACAAAGCTGTAATTCTGAAGATCCTTTCTTTATTCTGTATGGTTGTATTGTACTAGGCTTTAGAATGATATATTTGTATAATATTTCATTAATATTTTACATAATTGAACTTGGTTGCTTAAATCTATATTTTTTTTTTTTTAGTGATTGGCTATTTTAATAAAAACGATTGGGAGGTGAATTACATATCTGTTGCTGAATATCAAATCACCTCAACATTTATCATCTTAAATAAATACACTTTACTTACCTCACATGGTTTCTGAGGGTCAAGAATCCAGGATTGGCTTAGCTGATTAGTTCTGGGGCAGACTCTCCCATGAGATTGCTGTAAAGTTGTCAGCCAGTGCTTATATTCTTCTAAGACTCAACTTGAGCTGGAAAAAGGGCTTCCAAGCTCAGTTTAATGGTTGTTGGTAGTCTTCAGTTCCTCTATGGCTATTGGCCAGATGGTTTAATTTGTCACTACATGAGCCTCTTTATTGGATTGCTTAAAACACAGCAGGTTACTCACAGATCCAAGAGAAAGAGCAGAAGCCGATGAGAGAGACAGACAGTGAGAGAGAGAGGAAGACAACACCAAGAGACAAACAGAGAAAGAAAGATGAAGGAGCTCATCTTTCATGAGAGAGTGAGAGATAGCAAGCCCAAAATGGAAGCTAAAGTCTTTTTATTAACTAATCTCACAAGTGACTGATCATCATATCTATCATATACTAGTGATCATATAAATAAACCCTGGTGAAATGTGGAAGGAGGCTATAAAAGACTGCCAGTATCAACAGATGTGGGTTATTAAAAGACACCTTGGATGCTGACTACCATAGGAAGCCTGTTATTATGCTCTATAACATTAAAAGTGAATAGATTTTAACCTTTTCCTTGTATCCATCCTCCTGTCAATCCACTGTTTTTTCCTAAACTTTTAATTTTCAACCTTTGTTTAAACTTAATTTGCACATCTTTTTACTTTACACATTTTAAAATATATTTTTTCACAATTTTTTTATATTCATTGTTCTGGAACCCAATAAGCCGTTTAAATCTGTGGCCTTGAAAATATATTAGCTTAGATTTTCTAGAAAGTTTATATTTATTACTACTAAAATATGCCTACAGTTTATTATGTACATTAAATATATGAATCACTCTTCTAAATATATTATTTTCCATCTTAGAATGTATGTCATTTTGTCCTTTTTTATAAGGGACTTTCTGCAGTTTGTATTGTACGTCAATGATCCAACTTTCAGCAGTGCCTATTTTTATATATCATGGACTTTAATTCATTTATTGTAGTTTTATAATTTAGTTTTATTTATTTTCATTCGTCTCATTTTATACAGCATTTGGTAATCTATTTAATTCAATCTATTTCATCTTTGTAATTCTCTGCTTTTATTCTAGAAAAGTCCTTTATATCTCCTTACTTATTTAAAAACCAGTCTCATTCTTAAAAATTCTAGATCTTGTAAGACCTTAGGTTTGAGCTGTTTTTTTCTCATATTCTGAGTCTTCAGTGTGATGTATATTCCGGTTTTTCTGCAATTACCCTGACTGCCCAGACTTAGGCTCAATGGCCGATTTTCTTTCTGTTGTATTAAATAAATGCATTCCTATCCAGACTCAATGTTTGGTGATAGAGGTATATGAGTTTCTTTTGGTTCAATTCACTTTTCACTGCAATAATCATTGATATTTGTCTTCAACTTCAAGTCAGAAGTCAGCAAAAGGAGTTTGAAGCCATATTGAATTTCTAACAGTAATTTCTTTTGTGCAGCTTTGGAGTAGAATGGCAAAAATCTTTTCACCTATTCTGTAATGCAGTACCAATTCTACTCAAGAAAAACTAAAATTACAATGACATATTGCTAACATGGCTCTTCTTTTGTCTACTCCCAACATTTTGTTCTTTTGTTGTTCCACTGCCAGCTTCTCCCCGTTTAGTACACATACACACACACACACACACACACACACACACTCACTCTCCCTCTCTCTGTGTCATATAATTTCTATCAGTTATCATCCATAAAGGTACTCTTCCAGAAGAGGTGGGTAGGTAAATATGTCACTAATAATCATCAACAAAATAGAAGGATGGCTGGATGGATCGATGGATGATGGGTGAGATAAATTTTGAGTCTTTGAGACATGAATGCCTAGTTATAGGAATAAAAATAAATAAATGATAGATCGATTTTTTCCCATCAGAGTCTATCGTATGAGTTTAATCCAACATCATTTGAATTCTTAATGGTGATATTTGTGTCGTTCATTTTATTCAGCTCTAGCTCCCATTTATTGTTAGGAGATTCTATCCAGATGCCAATGATATGCATTAGCAATTAGTCTCAGTTTTGATAGTGTTGTAAGATTTTACTGTTTTTCATGTCACACTGTCTAATGAGAGTTGGAAAGAGATAACATCAAATACTGTTAGCTAGAATCCATTGCTGAATATGTAATATTCATTCTTTATCCCTACATTTTCTTAAATTAATCCTGTCTTCTTTATTCTTACAGATTATTGACCCCAATTTTAGATGCCAAAGCACTATAGTCTAATAATTACTTCTCATTAGCTATCTCATCAATATATTCTAATACTTTCTACTAGTTTTGTGATTCTCCTAAAGTAAGCTTCTTTATCCATAATCCCTGAAAACAACCACATTGTTCTCAGATTTTATAATTCTGTTATTCAAGAACATTATGTAAATGAAGTCAAACAGTATATAATCTTTTTGGATTGAAGTTTTCAATCAGCATAGTTATCTGGAGATTCATCCACTTGTTGCATGTGCCAATAACTCAGTAATTTTTACTGGTGAATAGTGCTCCATGTTGCAGATGTACCACAGTTTTTTAACCACTTACCTGCTGAAGGACATCTGGGTTGTTTTTAATTTTGAGCTATTACAAATTTTGAGCTGCTATAAATATCCACACGTTGGTTTTTATTTGAACAAGATCCTTCAGTTATCTTCAATGAATGCCATAAATATGGCAATTTGATGTTTCATATTTTAAAATTAACAGTTTAATTTTCCAGAGTGGCTGGAGTATTTGGCATTCCCATCAGTAATATATGTGACTGATCTACTTTTCTACCTCCTAGCCATCATCTGGTGGTGTTACTTAAAAAAAAATAAATAAGCATTTTGGTAGACATATGGTGATATCTCAGCATGGTTTTACTTTGCATTTACCTAACTGCTAATGATTATGAATATATATTTATTTGCTTACTTGCTGTCTATGTATATTCTTTAGTGAACTGTTTCTTTATCTCTTTTTCTCATGTTCTCATTGGATTGTTCTGGATTGTTTGCTTTCTTTTATTGTTGAGTATTGAGATTTCTTTAAATATCTTAGAAATGAGTCTACTTTTGGATGGGTGATGTTTGAATATCATCTATCACTCTGTAGCTTACCTTCTCATCTTTTTAACTTGGTCTTTCACAAAGCAAAATTTTTAAATTTTGAAGTACTATTTATCAGCATTTCCTTTTATGGGTTGTTCTTTTGATATCAAGTGTAAAAACACTTTGTATGGTCCTAAATCAAAAAGTTTTCTGCTATTTTTTTCTAAAAGTTTTACAGTTCTGTTTTATGGTTAAGTCAAGGACTCATTTTGTGTTAATTTTTGCAAAAGGTGAGACACTTATTTCTAGGTTCATTTTTTGTTTGGATTTTATTTAAACTTTATGTTCACTTTTTTTTTTTTTCTGTTACAGCTCTGCCTCATTACTGCCAGGTAGAACTAAAAGTTCAGATTCTCCGTTTGCCCATTTGGCCTCCATTGAGATCCAAGGGTTTTGGCTCCTTAAATAAGGTGAGGGTGACAATCTGGATCCCCACATAGTCTCTGCTGATGCCAGGGTGAGGTTTCTTTTAGTATTGTTGGGAAATTGTAAAAGTTCCGAATCTCCACCTGACACCATCCCTAGTTAAAGGGGAGGGCTGTCTTGCTACTGTTCAGTGGGAATGAAAGTCCTGTATCCCCACTTGGGGTTCACTAAGGCCATAGGAAGGAATAAGCTTCTTACCTGCCAGAAGGTACTAAAGTCCCAGCTCCAAACTTGGTCTCCTCTGATACCACACTGGTGTAGGTGTTGGGGCCTTGCAAGGGTGGACATCTAGGCATCCTACTTGGTCACTGCTGCTGTGGGTGGAAATGACGCCATAGTTTGTGTGAACGTGTGTATATTTGACTAGAATACAGTGGTGATTATCTAACACATTTCTGTCTTGCCAGCCTGCCCATTCCTAGTCCTTTGCCTGGAAAGAGAAGGCTGTTTGTTTGTATTTATCTGGGCCCATTTGTGTTTCTGGGTTGCCAGTGTTTATCTCCAAGTCTGGGGTATATGAGGCAAAAATAAAACCCAGAAAACTCAGTACAATGGCCTGAGTTTTTAGTTGTACTTAACAGGAGGAATAGAAGGAAATTAATTTACTCTAACATTATTTTCATATTTTTAAAAATGTTAAGCTGCTTCATTCTAATCCCACCTCCAACCTTAACTCCTCCTGTTTTAGTCAACTGCATCTGATGAACTATTGTTATTTTTTTAGCTATAGCAAACTCTCTTAATTATATTCCAGTATTTAACTTCCCATTATTTTTTTCTAACATTACTTTGATTTGTTCAGGGTTTTCCTGGTTTTGTTTTTGCTTTTAATAGAGATGGAGTCTCCCTATGTTATCCAGGCTTGTCTTAATCTTCTAGCCTCAAGTGATCCTCCTGCTTTGGCCTTCCGAAATCCCGAGATTACAATGTTCAGGTATTTTCTTCTCTTCTTCAGGTGCATGTGCTTTACTGAAGCTGATTCTATCCCAGCCTGTGAGAAAATAAGAAGCATAGATGGGGCTAGCCAACAAATGTGGTAGTTCTTTTTTTTTTTTTTTTTTTTTTTTTTGAGACGGAGTCTCGCTCTGTCGCCCAGGCTGGCGTGCAGTGGCGCGATCTCGGCTCACTGCAAGCTCCGCCTCCCGGGTTCACGCCATTCTCCTGCCTCAGCCTCCCGAGTAGCTGGGACTACAGGCGCCCGCTACCACGCCCGGCTAATTTTTTGTATTTTTAGTAGAGACAGGGTTTCACCGTGTTAGCCAGGATGGTCTCGATCTCCTGACCTCGTGATCCGCCCGCCTCGGCCTCCCAAAGTGCTGGGATTACAGGCGTGAGCCACCGCGCCCGGCCTGGTAGTTCTTTCACTTGTCAATTATTTTAGGTATAAGCTTGTGACTAAATCTGGTAAATGTGACATGAGGGGAAATCAATGAGAGCCCTTTAGAAAAGGTTTTCTCAATCCTAAAGCAGACAAAGAGGATATTATCAGGTGTGGGTATGATCCTACAACTGCTGAATCTAACTTGCATTGATAGAAAATGAATACACAAAGGATAGCATTGGGAAATTACAAAGAACCTAGGATTTTGACAACTGCATTCAGGTATGAAATTAACCATCACATTTTGTGACATAAATGTATTAAATTTTAAAGCCATTTCAAATTAATATTTTTCTTTGCCACAGAAAATGTTCTAATTGTTTTGAACACTGTGGCATTATCTTTTGAGTAAATGCAATATTAACCATACAAAAAACCTATAATTAACGACGACCTCAACATTGTTAGAATATATAGTTTAGAGAGTAAACAAAAATTTATTTATTGAGTTAATTGTACTTTCATAATGTATATGTTTGCATAACATCAGATTACCCTAATTATATTTTATAGAAGAGGAAGACTAGGGTTCAGGGAATAACTGATTTGCTTAAAGGCACACAGATTTGAGTGGCATACCAAAATTCAAGTCAGGGCTTGTGGTCTGAATCTGGCGGTGCTGGTTTTTAAATGTACAAATTCTATTCAATGGCAAATGCCACCAGTGCACTTCGTGTTTGAGACATTTTTCTATATAATGTATGACCTGAGGAATTGGGATTTAGGCAATATTCTCCAGGGAGTCAAAATTTGTTTTTCTCTGTAGATAGATTTGTCTTTAATTGTTCTATATGTACAGCAAAGAACCTTGGGGAACTACTAGCTGTTCTTGGGGAGGTACACTAACAGAAGAACAGCTGGAAGACAGTGTGACTCGGCAAGCAGAACAGCAGGCTGGAGAGCAAGGGACCAAAATTACAAATCCCATTTCTCATTCCTATGAAGGAGCAACCTTGGACAAATTCCTGTATTGGGTTTGCCTCTGCCCCAGCAGATATCTACATGAAAATTGGGGCAAAGTTTCATGTACATTTAATGTATCTAATCTATAGACCTTAAGGCTGTTTCCATGGAAACCTGAATTCATTTGGAAACTTAAATGTGTTGGCTCATGGCAGATGCCTGTGGCATCTTATTTTAGCACAATGATATCTAACCCTCTTTTTGTGACATCAGGAAAGGCACTCTCAAAGGCTACAAAAAACTTTTAAAATTACAAAAACAAAATTTATTTTAATTAACTTTAAAATGTAGAATTATGGAGTTGAGAGTATGTTGGAGAAATAGCAACTCCTGATTCAGCCCCTCTAATGTCTCATTGAAATGCAAAAAAAAATAAATAAAATAAAGTCAATGCATCAACCATAAGGAAAGCAAAAATATTTTATAATAATATGACTACTTTAAAAAAGAATTTCCAAGGACCAAAATGTGGAGGAGGTGTGTGTGTATTAGTCCGTTTTCATGCTGCTGATAAAGACATACCCAAGACTGGGAAACTTACACGGGAAAAAGATTTATTGGACTTACAGTTCCACATGGCTGGGGAGGCCTCACAATCATGGCAGAAGGTGAAAGGCATGTCTCACATGGCAGCAGACAAGAGAAAATAGTTTGTGCAGGGAAACTTCCATTTTGTAAAATCATCAGAGATTGTGAGACTCATTCACTATCGTAAGAACAGCACTGGAAGGACCCACATCCATAATTTAATCACCTTCCCACTGGGTTCCTCCCACAACATGTAGGAATTGTGGGAGTTACAACTCAAGATGAGATTTGGGTGGGGACACAGCCAAACCACGTCATTCCACCTCCGGCCCCTCCCAAATCTCATGTCCTCACATTTCTAAACAAATCATGCCTTTCCAACAGTCCCCCAATGTCTTAACTCGTTTCAACATTAACTTAAAAGTCCACAGTCCAATGTCTCATCTGAGACAAGGCAATTCCTTTCCGCCCATGAGCCTGTAAAATCAAAACCAAGTTAGTTACTTCCTAGATACAATGGGGGGTACAGGTATTGGGTAAATACAGCCATTCCAAATGGGAGAAATTGGCCAAAACAAAGGGGCTACAGGCCCCAAGCAAGTCTGAAATCCATCAGTCAAATCTTAAAGATCCCAAATGATCTTTGACTTCATGTCTCCCATCCAGGTCATGCTGATGCAAGAGGTGGGTTCCCATGGTCTTGGGTGGCACTGCCCCTGCAGCTTTGCAGGGTACAGTCTCCTTCTTGGCTGTTTTCACAGACTAGCAATGAGTGTCTGCAGCTTTTCCAGGTGCATGGTGCAAGCTGTTGATGGATCTACCATTTCTGGGGCCTCTTCTCGCAGCTCCACTAGGCAGTGCCCCAGTAGGGGCCCTGTGTGAGGGCTCTGACCCCACATTTCCCTTTCACACTGCCCTAGCAGAGGTTATCTATGAGAGCACTACCCCTCACCAAACTTCTGCCTGGGCATTCAGGCATTTCCATACATCTTCTGAAATCTAGGCAGAGAGTCCCAAACCTCAATTCTTGACATTTGTGCACTTGCAGGCTCAACACCACACGGAAGCTGCCAAGGCTTGAGGCTTGCACCCTCTGAAGCCATAGCTTGAACTCCACATTGGCCCCTTTCAGCCACGGCTGGAGCAGACTGGATGCAGGGCACCAAGTTCCTAGGCTGAACACAGCACAGGGACCCTGGGCCTGACCCAAGAAACTATGTTTTCCTCCTAGGCCTCCAGGCCTGTGATGAGAGGGGCTGGTGTGAAGACCTCTGAGGTGCCCTGGAGACATTTTCCCCATTACCTTCGGGATTCACATTTGGCTCCTCATTACTTATACAAATTTCTGTAGCTGACTTGAATTGGTTCTCACAAAATGGGATTTTCTTTTCTATTGCATTGTCAGGCTGCACATTTTCTGAACTTTTATGCTCTGCTTTCCTTATAAAACTAAATGTCTTTAACACCACCCAAGTCACCCCTTGAATGCTTTGCTGGTTAGAAATTTATTCCACCAGATACCCTACATCTCCCTCAAGTTCAAAGTTCCACAAATCTCTAGGGCAGGGGCAAAAACCCACCAGTCTCTTTGCTGAAACCTAACAAGCATCACCTTTGCTCCAGTTCCCAACAAGTTCCTCATCTTTATCTGAGACCATCTCAGCCTGGACCTTATTGTTCATATCACTATCGGCATTTTGTCAAAGCCATTCCACAAGTCTCTAGGAAGTTCCAAACTTTTCTACATTTTCCTGTCTTTTTGAAGCCCTCCAAACTGTTCCAACCTTTGCCTGTTACCCAGTCCCAAAGTTGCTTCCACATTTTCAGGTATTTTTCAGCAACACCCCACTCCTGGTACCAATTTACCATATTAGTCCATTTTCATGCTGTTGATAAAGACATACCCGAGACTGGGAAATTTATATAGGAAAAAGAATTATTGGACTTATAGTTCCACATGGCTGGGGAGGCCTCACAATCATGGCAAAAGGTTAAAGGCATGTCTCACATGGCAGCAGACAGGAGAAAAGAGTTTGCGCAGGGAAACTTCCATTTTTTAAAACCATCAGATCTTGTGAGACTCATTCACTATCACGAGAACAGCACAGGAAAGACCTGCCCCCAAATATAATAACCTCCCACCAGGTTCCTCCCAAGACATATGGGAATTGTGGGAGTTACAATTCAAGATAATATTTGGATGGGGACACTGCCAAACCATATCAAGGTGTCAATACAGAGAAATAAGAAGAATTTGTCTTCTAAATTCTATCATATACAGTTGACACAAGGATACAGATTATTTTCCAATGAGAGAGGAAAAAGGTCTCTGTCCCCTAAACAAGATTACTTCCAAATGTTTTCTGTTTTTTGAATAGATAAAGAAGGATATTACCTGTTCCATAGTCCAGACTTTAAAGTCAGACTGAAATTTAGGGCTGCACAATTTACAAGACTATCAAGTTACTCAAACTTTCTCTGCTCTTTTTTCTTATCTGTAAAATGACAATGATGACTAGTACCCACTTGAGGAGCAATGTAGCACAGTGGTTAAGACAGCAGACTTTGGTTTTAGACTGCCTAGTCTCAAATCCTGCTGTTACCACTTACTAGCCATGTGACATTGGGGTATTACTTCCACTTTTTATTCCTAATAAGGATGTGCTATGGTCTGAATGTTTCTGTCCTTCCTGACAATTTGTATCATCACTAATGTGATGGAATTAAAAAGTGTTACTTTTAGGAAGTAATTAGAGAGTAAAGGTGGAGTCCTCATGAATGAGATTAGTGCCCATTAAAAAATAAATAAATAAAAGCCCAGAGAGCTTTATGCCTCTTCTTTTATATGTGGTCACAGCTAGAACTTCACAGATATGTGAACCAGGAAATGGGTCTACACCAGACATCAAATCTGCCACTGTCTTGATCTTAGACTAACTTCCAAGCCCCCAAAACTGTAAAAAATAAATTTTGGTTCTTTTTGTTTTGTTTTGTTTTTGCGATGAAGTCTCACTCTGTTGCCCAGGCTGGAGTGCAGTGGTGTGATCGTGGCTCACTGTAACCTCCACCTCCTGGGTTCAAGCTATTCTCCTGCCTCAGCCTCCCGAGTAGCTGAGACTACAGGCACGGGCCACCACGCCTGGCTAATTTTTTGTATTTTTAGTAGAGACGAGGTTTTAACCATGTTAGCAAGGATGGTCTCGATCTCCTGACCTTGTGATTGGCCTGTCTCACCCTCCCAAAGTGCTGGGATTACAGGCATGAGCCACTGCGCCCAGCCAATTTCTGTTCTTTCTAAGCCACCCAGCTTATGGTATTTTTATATAGCAGCCCAAACAGACTAAAACAGGATGGTAATAGTGCCTACATCAGAGAATTTTGGTGAGAATTAAATGAATTAATACTGTGTTCCTAAAACAGTAACTTACACATAGCATATAAAATCAATTAATTTAAATTATTTTTGTTATTATTATGTCATGCTGTTTTAGATATTAAATGAGACAATACGTGTAAAATACTTATGCCTGTTCGTGGCCCCAATAAGTACACATTCAACATTAGAAATGACTCCTAATGGTCTACATGTCTCTTACTAAAATTTCTCTACTTATATTTTCGAGATTAAATTTTAATTGGTGATGATATTGAGTCTGAAAGGGCAGTGTGAGTGCTTTACATGGGAGGCTAATTAAGCAAACAACTAACGTCTGGCTACCAAAGGCTTATGCAAATAATGAAGAATAAAGTTTCTTTGCATAGCAAGATGTTCAAGATAATGAGACCTCAAGCCCTTACTAGGTCCTCTTACATATATGATTGCTAGACTGAAAAATCCACAAGGGCCTACAGAATTACTCACTCTTTATTGCCAGCTCATAGCATGCTACCTACCATATGGACTACACAAAATAAATATTTGGTAAATACATGCATGAATAAATGTTAACAAAACAACTACAGAACTTTTACAAGGGTTATAAATATTAGTCTCTTATAATGCTGTAAGAAGCATCTACAAGAATGATCTGTAAAAAAGCTTTAGTATTAAGAAACTGAACAGCAATAACAGATTTACTCTTAACACAAGCAAACACTGTATTTATATTTAGAAGTAAGCAGTGATTCATAGGCCCTGGGATAATATTAGTATGAAATTTAAATAAGAAAAACTGAACATTTGTATTTTAGACAAACATTTTGTATTTTGAAAAACATCATAGAAAACAAATGAAATGCTAAAAAAGTTTTTGTATTTTCAGTGAAGCAAAAATTAACCATCATAGAAATGATAGTGTGAGGGTTAAAACTGAATGGCAACTTAATTGAATTGAAGATGCAAAGTATTGTTCCTGGGAGTGTATGTGAGTGTGTTGCCAAAGGAGATTAACATTTGAGTCAGTGGACTGGGAGAGGCAAACCCACCCTCAATCCAGGTGGGCACCATCTAATCAGCTGCCAGCACAGCACTTGGAACCAACCCAAATGTCCAACAATGATAGACTGGATTAAGAAAATGTGGCACATATACACCATGGAATACTATGCAGCCATAAAAAAGGATGAGTTCATGTTCTTTGTAGGGACATGGATGAAATTGGAAACCATCATTCTCAGTAAACTATCGCAAGGACAAAAAACCAAACACCACATGTTCTCACTCATAGATGGGAATTGAACAATGAGAACACATGGACACAGGAAGGGGAACATCACACTCTGGGGACTGTTGTGGGGTGGGGGGAGCGGGGAGGGATAGCATTAGGAGATATACCTAATGCTAAATGACGAGTTAATGGGTGCAGCACACCAGCATGGCACATGTATACATATGAAACTAACTGGCACATCGTGCACATGTACCCTAAAACTTAAAGTATAATAATAATAATAATAATAATAATAATAATAATAAAGCAGGCAGAAGAACGTGGAGAGATTAGACTGGCTTAGTCCCTCAGCCTACATCTTTTTCCCATGCTGGATTCTTCTGGCCCTCAAATGTTGGACTCAAAGTTCTTCAGCTTTGACACTTGAACTGGCTTCCTAGCTCCTCGGCTTGCAAATGGCCTATTGTGGGACCCTGTGATCATGTGAGTTAATACTTAATAAACTCCTTTTTATATATACATCTAACCTATTAGTTCTGTCTCTCTAGAAATCTCTGACTAACACAGCTAGAAAATGAGATAATAAAAACACATGCAGTACAGTCATTGGTTAAGATAAAGACAGAAATCTGGTGAGGATCCACCATCTTTTCTCACTGCCACCGGAGACACAGACATAGCTTCTGTTCATAAGACACTATTAAATATTTATTCTAAGAAACTGGATTTGTCCACCTCTTTCTTCAGCCTTTTAGCTTCCTCAGACTTTGAGATAGGTTTGCATAGACCTGCCTACATTAAAATGTGAGCCAGGCCAGGAGCTGACAGCCCAAGACATGGACAAAAAGAATGAAGCATCTGTGGGGGAAATCCCAGGTGGCACCCACTTCCATGTGACATGGTATGGCTCAGCTTTTAGATGCTTGTGCATGAGTCCAGGGATGCCTTGAATACATCAGCATGTTTAGAACAATTTTAAGTAGAGAGCTGCCCATCACACTACATGGCATAAGGAACAGCAGCCAGCAGCAGCTGTAGTAAGATGGCCTCTTCTGTGGGCTGCCTCTTTGACGATGGGAGCCCAACTAGCAGCAGAAGCAAAGTAAAATGACTTCAGTAGGAATTACAATTAGAAAAACAATTTTTTAAAGAGCTGTATTGTCAAAAATTGACTTAGTTAAAACTGATATTTGGACTATATGTGTACATGCATGTATTGTTTTAAAGCCTCTGCTCTCTGTTGTAAAACTTTTCAGTTGACTGATTCTTGTCTGTTTCTCCATTTGCTTCTCTCTATCCCTCTTTTCCCTTGCTACCTCTGATGACAAATGAGGGCCCTAATAGAGGAAATGTCTAACAGGCTGGGATTCCTTGTGGAAAACAGAAAGGTGCCAAAGACACTGTTTTTTTGGGAGGAATCTGTTTTTCCTCATGGAATCCCAAAAGCTTTAAGCAGAGAGACTCCTCTCAGGTCTAAAACTCTGTTCTCTTTTGTAGTATTACTTGATCTCTTTAACTTTTGGGGGGATACCAGAAATTGCTTGGTATTGTGAGAGAACTTGACTTTGGTGTGTATTGGCTGGCAGCCATGGTGAGAACTATAGTGTTAAAGGTGGCTAATGGTGGGTTGTAGTAAATGATTATTACTGCAGTGGGCTACTTGTTTCTTTGGGTGTTTGGATAAGGAAAGCATGGTGCTTTCTTGGCTCTGTTCTTGAAGGGGCTCCACAATGAAGCCAGTAATCTACCGAAGAAACAAGATAGGTTGAAAAGAGCACACTTTTCCTGGTAATCTTCTTTGTAGATAAATGTGTTTAGGTCTAAGTTCAGTGCCTTTGAGAGGGAAACGTTCTACCTTGTTTCACCTAAACATCATGTCTTTGAAAATGATTAATAGTGTAGGATGGAGAGAGAAACTGTTAAAAAACTGGCAACTGAAGAATCTTATAAATCTGTAAGATCTGCCTCTGTCTGGGTGTGTGCATATATGTTTATAGATCATGTGTATGTTATACGTCACTACTAAAATATATGAAAGAGCTTTAATCAATTGGCTTAAAGAAAAGTAAGTGCTTAAATCAACCATTTTTATCAGAAAAACATATGTTAACTCAAATGCCTTTTATTTCACAGGACTTGAGTGCTCTTTGGTGAATAAAACTAGTTTCAAATTAGATTTAGTAATTTAAAACCCTAAAGTCATGGTATGTTAAATTAAGTAATCCTAGGTTTCTCACTGGAAATTGGAGTTAATCAGAGTTAAAATAGTAGTTAATACATGTAATTAAAAATACTAGAAACTTTAAATCATTAATAAGAAATGGAAGGAATAAAATGGAAATTTATGACATTAAAACAGTAGTCTTAACACAACACTATCAAAAGTTGTTGGTCCAAAGGGAGCCCCTGCTGGCCCCCTAACATTAATGGCTCCAAATCAGTTTTCTGGATTTACCCTAGATTAGAAAAATATATTTTAAAAAATTACGAGGCAAAAGTTTTCATGAGAAAACCAGCCAACAATTGCCCAAGGCAATGCTGAAGCAGGTTAGTCCAAGGTTAGACAAAGATAAAGATTAACAAAAGTATTAGAATCCCATGGCTCACCCTCCTGCTGGAAACCCAAATCCTTTTTCACAACAGAGGGTAAAATGGTCTGAGTGTGGAGAAAAGAAATTCCTGAGACCATAACATAAAAATGTATAGGTTGATAAGATTATGAAAATTAAAATATTTAAATAGGCTTTATTTGAAGTAGTTGTGACTCATTTAAATGTCTATGAAAATGAATATTGTATCTAACTGGAGGCATTTCCTCTACCTAGTACTATCAGACCAAATGTAGATACATCCACTCTTTTAGCAATGTTGATTGGACCCACTAATGAAAACTGATAAGATTTCTGGAGTCTACAGAGTGTAGAATAGAAGCTAAAGTGCTGGTCTGGACAAATTCTTCACCTAATAGCCCTTTGTAAGGCATTTACTAGGATTTATGGCAAAAGCCTATGACCACCTCACAATGATGCCAACTGGGACTGTGGATTAGAGAATTTCCACTTGATAGGTATTTACCGCCTTGCTGTGGGGCATTAACTGAATCACTCCTATGCTAATGGGGATAGCAGTGCCCAAGAGTTCCATGCTAATAGAAATGGTTTATATAGGATCATGCTACCTGGAGATCATGAAGTGGAGATACTCACAAGCAAGGAGCTTCTTTTTCCCCTAGGACTAACTCTGGAACTGTATGGGGAGCTTCTGGATTCCACAGTGGCTTATCAGCAGTTCTCACCTGACTTACAAAGCACTTCTTGGTTAATGGATGGCAGTTCCAAAGTAAATGGACAACATCTTGTGTAGAAGGTTGCTACTCTGATTGAAGAAGAGTCAAGAAAACCTCTTTTTCTTTCTAGCCATTTATAGCATAGAGAATATGGGTAAAGTATTTTTGTGTGTGTGTGAGCAAAATTTACCTTTCCCTCTCAGTTCTCCAAAATTTGTAAAATATTTATGAGTATCCTTATTTTATGGCAATATGGTTATTTGCCTAAGTTCAGTAAGAATCTATTTCCTTTTGTAACAGGATAAGATTGGAAACATTGGTTAATTTACCAAGGCTTTGTCTGGAATATTGTATACTGGAATAGTATCTTTTGCGATATGACCATACTGCTTTGAGGAATTGAAGTCAGATTTATAGAGTCAATAAAAAGCCCCTTGGAAAGACTAGCCTAGCATGTTGTCTAAATGGGTGACTTATAAGGCTGCTGACCAGTGGTAATTAAAGAATGTCACTTTCTAGCAGGCCCAGGAACCTCAAGATATTTTGTGATCTTGAGAAGAGAGGTATTTGTACAGGGAATACAAACAGTCTAATGGTGATTCTTTGGCTTGGCTTCTAGCCTTGAGGCTTTTAAAAAGTCAAATATGAAATTATTTATAAAAGTTCCAGCGGTCGAGTGCAGTGGCTCACACCTGTAATCCCAGCACTTAGGGAGTCCGAGGTGGGTGGATCATGAGTTCGAGACCAGCCTGGCCAGTATGGTAAAACCTTGTCTCTACTAAAAATACAAAAATTGGCTATGCATGGCGGTGCATTCCTGTAGTCCCAGCTGCTCGGAATGCTGAGGCAGGAGTATTGCTTGAACCCAGGAGGTGGAGGCTACAGTGAACCGAGATCACGCCACTGCACTCCAGCCTGGGCGACAGAACGAGACTCCAACAACAATAACAACAACAACAAAGTTCCAGGAAAGCTGACTTAAAAGGAACCTATAAGTCTAATCACTATTATTGCTATATTTCATGCAAATAATCAGGCCAAGAACAGTGAGACCAAAATTTATTTTGCTAATAAATTATTCCTACTATGATTTATCCTTGGTAGAAATGGGAAACCTAAAGAGACAAATAATTGGATTCTAGCCCTGACCATTGCTTTTGAGTTTTTATTACTTGCCTGCAATTTGGGCTTAATCCTGAATTACTTACTGGCTGTAAGAATTATTTAATAATAACTGGGTTTTAACTTTCTTCAAGATAATTTTAATTGGCTACCTAATGGAATACATTCCTTTTCTGTTGGTGATATGCTGGCATCCAAATTCTCTTTTGATTATAATCCTCATATGCATTATATTTCTACTATTCAAGTTATTCATGTTATGTATCTCTCATTGTTTTACTTCTTCCGAGAAAACCAAAGTCATGGTATGCTGGAGACTAGAGATGATTCAACAGAACCCGTGAATCTCCCTCATTTGGAATCCCATTGGGCACTATCTGTTTTGCATTGCCAATGCACTGCTGCTAAAGCTGTATAATATATAATATTCAGGCACTCTCCCTAAAGGCTCAGGAACCATTGAGGAAAAGGACACGTGAGATTATAAAAGTTGGATTGATGATGACAGTTGGAGGCTAGAGCAACTCCATCTGGGAAGCTAATTTGTCATGTTGGCTTCTGATTAACCCTTGTTCTAGGAAGCCCTCTAAGATTTCCAGTTCATTTATTGTTCTTTGTGTAGGAGCAGGTATTTATCATAAATCTTGCTCTTAGGTCAAACGACCTTGATGTTATTGTACTTAGATTGTCCCCCATATCCCTGATGAACAACCCCTACCCTATAGTAAAGTGGTCCTCAACCTTTTTGCCACCAGGGACCAGTTTCAGGGAAGATAATTTTTCTATAGACCAGAGCAGGGCATGTTTTCAGGATGAAAACATATGCATCACATTTGTTGTGCTCTTTATTTCTGTAATTATTACATTGTCATATACAATAAAAATTATACAACTCACTATCATGTAGAATCGGTTGGAACCCTGAGCTAGCTTTCCTGCAACTAAATGGTCCTATCTGGAAGTGATGGGAGTCAGTGACACCTGAAGTGTGCTTCTTATGTCCAGTCTACTTCATAATCTCAATTTGGTTGGTGTCACTGCAGAAAACTCTGCTTCACAAAGATCGGATGTTGGAAATGGAAGCAGACTTTTCAGTGCTTTTGTGGCAATCTCAGGATATTCCACTTTGACATTAATCCAGAATGTATGGAGGTTTGAATTTGTGTCAAACTTACTTTTAAGGCCGCCATCATTTGTGATCTCAAGCAGTTAATCCTCTTCTAGCACAGACTAAGTGGATTCACAGGTTATTCACAAAATGGATCACAAATCCATTCCTTCCCAGCTCAGGGGTCTTTTGTGGCGGGAAAGTGTATCAGTCAGGGTTCTCTAGAGGGACAGAACTAATGGGATAGATAGATATATATAAGGGGAGTTTATTAAGTAGTAACTCATATGATCACAAGGTCCCACAATAGTCCGTCTGCCAGCTGAGGAGCAAGGAGAGCCAGTCTGAGTGAAAACTGAACAACTTGTAGTCTGATGTTCCAGGGCAGGAAGCATCCAGCATGGGAGAAAGATGTAGCCTTGGAGGCTAGCCAGTGTAGTCTTCTCACATTTTTCTACCTGCTTTATTTTTTATTTATTTTTTTATTATACTTTAAGTTTTAGGGTATATGTGCACAACGTGCATGTTTGTTACATACGTATACATGTGCCATGTTGGTATGCTGCACCCAGTAACTCATCATTTAACATTAGGTATATCTCCTAATGCTATCCCTCCCCCCTCCCCCTACCTTTCAACAGTCCCCGGTGTGTGATGTTCCCCTTCCTGTGTCCATGTGTTCTCATTGTTCAATTCCCACCTATGAGTGAGAACATGCGGTGTTTGGTTTTCTGTCCTTGCGATAGTTTGCTGAGAATGATGGTTTCCAGCTTCATCCATGTCCCTACAAAGGACATGAACTCATCCTTTTTTATGGCTGCATAGTATTCCATGGTGTATATGTGCCACATTTTCTCAATGCAGTCTATCATTGTTGGACATTTGGCTTGGTTCCAAGTCTTTGTTATTGTGAATAGTGCTGCAATAAACATATGTGTGCATGTGTCTTTATAGCAGCATGTTTTATAATCCTTTGGGTATAGACCCAGTAATGGGATGGCTGGTTCAAATGGTATTTCTAGTTCTAGATCCCTGAGGAATCTCCACACTGACTTCCACAATGGTTGAACTAGTTTACAGTCTCACCAACAGTGTAAAAGTGTTCCTATTTCTCTACATCCTCTCCAGCACCTGTTGTTTCCTGATTTTTTAATGATTGCCATTCTAACTGGTGTGAGATGGTATCTCATTGTGGTTTTGATTTGCATTTCTCTGATGGCCAGTGATGATGAGCACTTTTTCTTGTGTCTGTTGGCTACATAAATGTCTTCTTTTGAGAAGTGTCTGTTCATATCTTTCGCCCACTTTTTGATGGGGTTGTTTGTTTTTTTCTTGTAAATTTGTTTGAGTTCATTGTAGATTCTGGATATTAGCCCTTTGTCAGATGAGTAGATTGCAAACATTTTCTCCCATTCTGTAGGTTGCCTGTTCACTCTGATGGTAGTTTCTTTTGCTGTGCAGAAGCTCTTTAGTTTAATTAGATCCCATTTGTCAATTTTGGCTTCTGTGGCCATTGCCTTTGGTATTTTAGACATGAAGTCCTTGCCTGTGCCTATGTCCTGAATGGTATTGCCTAGGTTTTCTTCTAGGGTTTTTATGGTTTTAGGTCTAACATTTAAGTCTTTAATCCATCTTGAATTAATTTTTGTATAAGGTGTAAGGAAGGGATCCAGTCTCAGCTTTCTACATATGGATAGCCAGTTTTCCCAGCACCATTTATTAAATAGGGAATACTTTCCCCATTTCTTGTTTTTGTCAGGTTTTTCAAAGATCAGATAGTTGTAGATACGTGGCATTATTTCTGAGGGCTCTGTTTTGTTCCATTGGTCTATATCTCTGTTTTGGTACCAGTACCATGCTGTTTTGGTTACTGTAGTTAACAAACTGTCTCTCAGACCACAGTGCAATCAAACTAGAACTCAGGATTTCTGCCTACTTTATATTCTAGCCACACTGGCAGCTGATTAGATGGTGCCCACCCAGATTAAGGGTGGGTCTGCCTTTCCCAGCCCACTGACTCAAATGTTAATCTCCTTTGGCAACACCCTCACAGACACACTCAGGATCAATACTTTGCATTCTTCAGTCCAATCGAGTTTACACTCAGTGTTAACCATCACAGAAGGCAAAGCTCAGACTCTTTTGAAACCTAAGAATGGCAATCATGCACCTGCTGGGAGAAAGGAGGCCCTGGCTCTGTCTCTTTCAAAATATCTGCTAATGTTTGAAACATGTCAAAAACCCCAATGTTCACTTGTTGGCCCCATAATTCCAATTTGGTTTTGAAAGCAGGCACTTCATCTGCTGACTGGAACACAGTTATCAGTCTCCCCCAAATTGACAGATTGAGTTTGTTGAGCAGGTTGAATACATTACACAAGTAAGCAAGTTTTGCGACCCATTCTGTGTCACTGAAATGTGCTGCCAGTGATGACTGTTTTGAAAAGGAATCCCTGGAGCAGGCTTCATGACTCAAAAACTCTGGCCAGTGGTCTATCTTTAGAAAGCCACCTCACTTCTGTGTACAAGAGAAGACATGAGTGCTCTGTATCCATCTCCTCACAGAGCTGCATGAACAGACATGATTTAAGGGCATGTACTTTAATGTGGTTGATAATTTTAATCACACCCTGCAAAACATTGTTAAGTTGAGATGACATTTTTTTTTGGCCAGCCAGCATTTCTCTGTGGATGACACAGTGCATAGACTCACATTCAGAAGCGACCTGTTGGACTGACCCGAGTAGTGAAACCAGAAAGCCATCCAGTCGTGGCAGCCACTCCATCTGTGCATATACAACACAAAATGACCACTTCAGTTTTCCTGATATGTAATCATTCAAAGACTTGAATAGTTGTGCAGCTGTAGTGTTGGTTGGCAACGAAAGTGCATATAGCTTATCCTCATGCACATCCTCCAAAAAATATTATTTATTTATGTATTTATTTATTTATTTTGAGAGGGAGTCTTGCTCTGTCACCCAGGCTGGAGTGCAGTGGCACAATCTTGGCTCACTACAACATCTGTCTCCTGGGTTCAAGCAATTCTCCTGCCTCAGTCTCCCGAGTAGCTGAGATTACAGGTGGCCACCACCATGCCCAGCTAATATTTGTATTTTAGTAGAGACAGGGTTTTACCATGTTGGTCAGGCTGGTCTGGAACTCTTGACCTCAAATGATCTGACCACCTCACCCTCCCAAAGTGCTGGGATTACAGGCATGAGCCACACGCCTGGCCACAATGCCCTGAAAAATATATCTCACAAAAACAAGAATTATTGCCTTGTTGTCAACTTCAGTAGACTTGTCAACCTGGATTTCTTACCACAGTGACTAATTAATCCTTTCTGACTATTGTGCCTCAATATCTGCTATTTGATCAATTTGTCTAGTTATGGTGCTAGCCAAAAGAGGAATACGTGCCACCTTTTGAACTGCAGCCTTTGCTAAATGTTCAGGACAAATGTCCTTAGCAGGAGGCAGGGTCAACTCTTCACCAATAGTAAAGGGCTTCTTAGCTTTCGCAATGCAGTTAAGCTCTAAGAATGATGCTCTTGGTGCAGACGCATTTGATGAAGTGGTGGCCTTCAATAATTGCTTCTGTTCTTTATGTTATTTTTTTTTCTTTTGAAAAACTCCAAAGGTTCGTCTTTTAATGCAGGGCACTTGGTCTCCATGTGGTGAAGTAGTTTTGAAGTTTTCATGACTATATTGGATAGCCAGTCACCACACATTACACAATTTTATATATTTTCTTTTAAATGTAGCTTTCTTTTGTCGATGGGCTTAGTCTTCTGCTATCTCATCATTAAGTCTTCCCCCTTTTCAAGTAAGCTCCTAAGTGATGTTTGGTTTTTACTCATTTTTGCTGGGATTTGCCTGTGAGCTTACCAAAACTGTGATTAAGACAAGTGCACAGTGCGGGAAAGAGGGGCAGACAGTAAATAAAATCATAGGCGGGTTATATGTGGACTAAAATAAGTGTCAGATTCTGACTTAAAGCCTGCAACAAACGCAGCGGTACAGCTGAAGTACTTCACCTCATTTGCCACTATAAAGCCTGTCACCAGATGCAGCTTATTGTCATTTGACACTCACTGATAGGCTTTTGATGAGTCTGCGAGGAATTGATTTTTTATGGTCTTTGTGCAGTCAGCCTCTCTGCTAATGTTAATCTGTATTTGCTGCCTCTCCCCAGCACTAGCATCACCACTTCAACTCTACATCAGATCATTAGGCATTAGATTTTCATAAGGAGCACACAATCTAGAATCCTAGTATGTGCAGTTCACAATAGAGTTTGTACTCCTATGAGAATCGAATTCTGCCACTACCCTGACAGGAGGTGGAGCACAGGTGGTAGTGTGAGTGATGGGGAGTTCCTGTAAATACAGATGAACTTCACGTGCTTGCCTGCTGTCTACCTCCTGCTGTGTGGCCTGATTCCATTAATGGTCCGTGGCCTGGTGGTTGCTGATGCCTGTTATAGAGAGAGGGTGAAGAGGACTGGGGACTTTCTCAGCCTGTGGTTTCAGAGCAGCACTGATCATCATTTTCATCTCCTGTATTTGGGCTTTTCTAATTGACTGTCTCTTACCTGCTTAAGGGATATTAACCAAAGCCACATGTCAGGGCACACTGCATAATAGTTGTCATCACTGAGTGATGCCTGTATTTCTTTTCTAGTTATTTTGGACATTTAGCCCAATCAAATATAGTTCTAGTGCTACTTTGATTTCTAGAGTCTATCTTGATCTCAGAAGGAATTCTTTTAAGCACCAAACAGTGAAAATATTTTAGACCAATATTAAATTGCTTTTGTAGCATATTGAGACTAACATGTAAACTTATAGTTCTCCTGTTGTTAAACTATTAGGATTCAAAAGGTTCTTCTACTTATTTCTCATGCTAGGTACTGTATTTTAATAAACAGGTACAACCCTATTTCCCTCTGACAGAATTCTTTGATGTCAATGTCTACCTGCCTGGATATCCAGGCATTGATGGATAGATGAACATATAAAATAGCAGTAGAAAATGGAGGTTAATTTACAAAAGTGTTTGGATCAAGTATATAAATAAAGTAAATTTTATATCCTTGCTCCTTATTTGAAAGACATAGTTTTTTACCATTTTAATACAACTTGTATATTTCTATTAATATGCTAAATTTTTATTGGGAAAATATTGATAAATGTCACAAAAGTGGCTTCTTTCCCAGTCTAAAATGCTTTCTAGTTGTCTCCTCAAGAAAGCTATAAAGCTTTATTCTTTTCTACACTTTATTTCCTAATTATCAGTTGAAGCCCTTAGCCTGGCCATCCAGATTGACATGGGATGGCATTCCACCAAACTTAGCTATCTCTGAGAATACATTTTCAAGCCCAGGAAAATGATCAAAGTGCCTGCCTTTCTAGGAAAGTACTGATAATCACCATCTTTTAAAAATAATGAGAGACCACCATAACTGAGATTATTGCATATTATTACTACCCCACAGTTTTTTCTAAAGTAATCATAGACAATGTAGATCCATTGGTAATAACTAAGCCTCAAATACTGATAACTATTCCCTTTTATGTTATAATCACACTAAACTCAAGATGTAAATTAAGTCAAGTCATAACTGATTAAAGACTCAGACAAAAACAATAGTTACCTCAAAGGAAGACAATGCAGATTAAAATATAGCAGAGCCACTGATGAATATTTATGAAACCTGTATGGGGACTTACATAGCATCAACTAATTCATGAAAGAAAATATACCTGTATTAATTTATAAAAAATGTTAAGATTCAGCAGTGTAATTTGAGTAAAAAAACCAACATTTAATTAAATATGAAAATTTCTAAAACATCTCAGTATTCCTTAACAGATTTTTTAAATATATACAATCATGGCTATAATGAGCCAATAAAAGTTAATCCTAAATAAATAATGGAGAAATTTTCATATATTTTGTAATCTGGAACTAAGGACTAAAAGAAACAGACCATTAAAATTTACAGGCCTCATTTTTAAGGTTATTTCAAAATCTCTTATTACATTTATTATAATTATTACAATATTGCTGGGAAGCCATTTCCATAGCTCTCTCACATTTCTACGCATCCTATGAGCAGAGGCAGTTACTCCCCTTTGTTCTAAATTAGCTTTCTGAGAATCTTTGTACAGTTATGCAGGTCCACTTTTATTGGATTTTTTTCAATAAATATATTGGAAGAGTTTTTTGAGATTTGTGACAAATCTGAAAAAACTCACAAATGAACTGCATAACCTAGAAATATAAAAAAATTAAGACAAAGTTAGTTATGCCATGAATGTATAAAATACGTATACCTACTAGGCTATTTCATTATTTACTATCATAAAATACACACTGATTTATTATAAAAAGTTAAAATTTTTCAAAACTTGTGCCTATGCTTACATATTGTACATGGCACCATTTGCAATTAAGAGAAATGTAAACAAACCCAAAGATGCAGCTTTCAATCATAATTGCATAAAATCAGCTGCAGTAATACTGTACTATTGCAATAATTTTGTAGCCACCACCTGTTTCTATTGCAGTAAACTCAAGTGTTGCATCCACTTAAAATGCCATGTGACACTAATCATCTCCACATGAGAAGTTTATCTCTCCAGTAAATTGTATATTTAAGTATAAAGTGGTCTCTCACAGTTCTAACTTATATTTCATTATGTTGAGTAAATACATCATGTAACCCATCAATGTGCCAGTAGTGATGCTGGAAGTGCTCCTAAGAAGGAGAAAGAAGTCACAGCGTTACAAGAAATAGTTGAATCGCTTGATATTTACTGTAGATTTAGGTCTACAGCTCTGGTTGGCCACCATTACATGATAAATGAATTCAGGTTAAGGACCACTGTAAAAACATAAAAAAGGAAAATTAGTGAAGTGGTCACTACAGTTATGCCATGAGGCATGAAAATATCTTTTTTCTTTTGTATTGAAAATAACTTTTATGTAGGTGCAAGATTACTATTAGAAAGGCATAATCAGGACAGGTGCAGTGGCTCATGCCTGTAATCCCAGTGCTTTGAGAGGCTGAAGTGGGAAGATCTCTTAAGGCCAGGAACTTGAGACTAGCTTGTGCAACATAACTAGTCCTCATTTTTACAAAAGTTTTTTTTTTTTTTTTTAATTGCCTGGACTGGTGATAAGTGCCTGTAGTTTAAGGCTGCCGAGAGCCATGATCATGCCACTGCACTCTGGTCTGGGAAACAGAGAGATAATCTGTCTCAAAAGTTAAAAAAAAAAAAGGCATACCTATAGGTTCAAATATGATTTCAGCGAAAGAAAAGTCATCATATGACAACTTACAGCAAAAGGAAAGTAAAGGATCTAAAGGTGGAGCACTTAATGCCGGCAAAGGATAGTTTGGTAATTTTACAAAGATGTTTGGGTCAGAAAAATGTAAGGATGACAGAAGAAGGATCTTTTGCCAATCAAGAGGCAGCAGAAAAATGCCCAGGTTTCCATTGAGAAAATCATTGAGGAAAAATGATATCTACCTGAAAAGGCTTTTAATGCAGACAAAACTATCTTATTCTGGAAAAAAATTGCCACAGAGAGTATTTATTAGTAAAGAAGAGAATGGAGCACAAAGGTTTAAGGCAGGAAGGGATAGGCTAGCTCTAATCTTCTATGCAAATGGAGGCATGTTTACAATCAGGACTGCCCTTATCTATATGCTGATCCTCAATTTTGATGGGGTAAGATAAACACTAGCTGCAGTTCCTTGGGTTTTATAACAAGAGATATACCTAATGCTAGATGACACATTAGTGGGTGCAGCGCACCAGCATGGCACATGTATACATATGTAACTAACCTGCACAATGTGCACATGTACCCTAAAACTTAGAGTATAATAATAATAAAAAAAAAAAAAAAGAAAAAAGAATAAAAAAAACAAACAAACAAAAAAAAAAAAACAAGAAGGCCTTGGCAACAAGATCTTTTTTTTCTGGATTGGTTTCATCAAGGCTTTGTTTTCAAAGTCCAGAAATTCCTTGCCAGGAAGAGACTCTCTTTCCAAGTTCTCTTGATATTGGAATGATGCCTCTGGCCACCCAGAGCACTATGAGTACAACGCCAAAAGTGTCAACATGGTCTAATTGCACCTAAACATAACATCCCTAATTCATCCTCTTGATTGGGGTTCATAAGAACCTTTAAGGCTCATTAAACACAGTACTCTATGAACAGAATTACGAGTGCTATGGAAGAGAACCCCAATAGAGAGAACATTATGAATGCTTGGGACGATCACACCATTAAAGATGCCATTGTTGTCACTAAAAAAAAAAAAAAAGTTGTGAAAGCCTGAAACAATAAATTCTTGCTGGAGAAAATCGGGTCCAGATGTTCTCTGCATGACTTTGTAGGATGAATGACAGAGTCAATCAAGAAAATCATGAAAGAGATTGTGGGTATGGAAAAAAGGGTGAGAGGTGAAATGTTTCAAGATATGTGTCTTGGAGAGATTCAAGAACTGATAGAAATCACACAAAAAGAAGCAACAGAACATAACCTGACAGAGATGAGTGCTTCCACATCAGTCCCAGGTGATGAGAAGGAAGATGAAGAAGAAGCGGTGCCAGAAAGCAGATGACATTGAACCATCTGGCAGAAGGAGAAGGGTTCAGATTATTCATGACTGCTATTGACCTATTTTACAAAATGGACCCTTCTATGATAACAGCACAGAAACGAAAGCAAATGGTGGAAGAAGAATTGGTACTGTATAGAAATATTTTTAGCAAAATAAAAAAAGCAAAAAGTGAGACAGAAATAACGATGTATTTCTGTAAAGTTACACTAAGTGTGCTTGCCTCTCCTGACTTCCTTCAAGCTCCTCCACTTCTTGCTCCTCTGCCACCTCCCAATGTCAAGGTCAACCCCTTCCCCACTCCCCCTCTTCAGCCTATTCTATGTGAAGTTGGTGAGGATGCACACCTTCATAATGATCCACTTCCATTTAATGAATAGTAAATACATTTTCTCTTCCTTATGATTTTCTTAGTAATCTATTTTGTTTCTCTAGCTTACTTTATTCTAAGAAAACAGTACATTTTATATATATGTGTATATATAAACATATAAAATATGTGTCAGTTGACTGTTTCAGTTTTCAGCATGGCTTTCAGGCAACATTAGGCTACTTAAGTTTTGGAGTATTCTAAAGTAATACGTGAATTTTCAACTGTGTGGAGGGTCAGTGTCCCTAACCTCTGCCTTGTTCAAGATGAACTGTAAAGTGAACTTCCCTGGGAAATCGTAATAGTATATTTTTCCAGAGTAAAGGGAGGTGTGTTTACTATCCAGTATAATAGATTCAGGTACCTATGGTCAGGTTTTCTCTTATGTAACACAACCCACTATGTGTACAGGCATCCAACTGAGCTCATTTATATTACCTCTGTGAATGTCTCTGACCCAGTAGTGTTCTGTCTTCTAGCAACATCTCTGAAACTGGGGTAGGCTAGCTCATTAGCTTGCAAATAGGGTAAAATCTCAGATGCTTCATGATTCTTAACAATAATGGCAGTGATGTGAGCATAGGATGCTGTCAGAGATATGGCTTTCTGAAAAAAAAATTAAAAGACAAGGGCTCAAAGACTATGAGAAGGATAAGAAGGACTCCATGGCATCTGGTATATGCTCTCCCAAGTGGTGAGCAAAATTGAGAACTGAGAGTAAGGCTCTCTCACTCTCATAGCTGTTTATGCAGGTGTAAAGACTGAGCAGTGAGAGGTAGAACTGAAATAAGCAGCCAAACCAGTGTCTTGATTGCCACTCACTCTACCCTGGGCATGTGGATAAAGGGCTGTTAGTATGACAATGATGCAGCAGGCAGCATCAGCCAAAGACAATGGAATTATGGCTGCTGGGCCAAGGAGTCTTTTAACTGGAAATAAATGGGGTCAGCAATAAGGACCTTGCTATAAAGTACAAAGTTTTATACAGACCAAAAGCATTAAGGTTTTATTTCCAGGCGAATGAGTGGTTGCTGGTAATAAAGGTATATGTGCATTACTCATGCAGTGTCACTCTCCTTCCACATCGTCCTCCCCCTTTCTCAACATTTCCCTCACCCTCTGCCTGGACCTCAGCTGCCCCTGTTTTTTTAAAAAAAAAAAATGCAGCTCACTGCCATTGCTCATTTAATTTTACATAAACATGCTATTTGAGACTGAAGCAAATTTGATTGATTTTGCAATGCGAAAATAAAATATAAAAACTGTTCTTGGAGTTATTTCTAAAGAAAGTTAACATCAGAATCATCTGAATCATCAGAATTATCTATTTTGGAAAAATCAGATTCATCAAATGAATCTTCGGCCAACAACTGTTCGAGAACGATGTTAACATCATGCGTAGGAATGCTATGATTTCTAGGATTTGACATTCTCAGCGATCCAGAATTACTACATTTTGTAAATGTAAATACCATTGCTAAAAACAGAATTGTATAAATAGAATGATGTCTTTTGTTTCCAAAGCCGATATACTAGAGCAAAGCAAAAAAGATAATGAAAGCGAGATATTTTGTGGCAAAGTTATCTTGGGGTGAACGCTGCAGCTGCAAGCACTGCTGGCAAATATTCCCAGGGAAAACTAGAAAGGGGTTAAGAAAAGCAATGATTGTGGGGAGAAAAAGATGACTGGAGTTGAGCAGTAGTTGCCCTGTCCCCAGATGGGACCAATGGCCATGTACATCTGCTCAAGTATGCTGGGTAACTTCAGGAGAGGGAAGGACTTAAATTGTTATGACTGTGTTGGATATAGACACCCTAGTCACCATCCGAAACCATGGGAGGAGGAAGCACCTAATTTCAACTATATGTTTTGAGTAAAGTTTGCAATGTATAAAGGAAAATTACGTAATCTTAAAGGTGGAGCACTTTAGGTTGATTCTTCTGCAACTGAATATATCCAAGAAATTGACATGCTCTATGTTTTTGTTTCCCAATGCCACAAGTGTCAGAGGAGATTCTCCTCATCAAAAAGAGCTAAATGTAGAGAAAGTGTTAGTGTAACAAACTCTCCTGCCATTGCCATCAGTTGATAGGTAAAAATTCAGTGCAAGTGGCTCTACATTTAGACACTCAAAACTTTTACTGCATAGAAATATCCATTTACTGTATCAACAATACAGTATCAACTTTACTGTATCAACAATATCCTGTTGATTAGTAAGTCAGAATCATGAGTCTCAGCAGCCATGATAACAGTGCTATCCAACATCTGCCAGCAAGAGTAGCTGATAGATCCCAACAAAAAGCAGGAACAAGGAGCCAAAAATAATTTATTGGAACCATGTGGTCAGATTCATTACACTCAATATATCTTAAGTACAGGAAAAATTGCTATCTCTTCTGCTACAACCACTACAAGGTAAAGCATCTCATTGGACTCTTGCAATATTGAAAACATCGTGTCCCTCACTTGGACAGTCTACTTGCTCCTTTCTGTCAGCTGACATTCAAACCAGCATCCACTGGGTGGTGAACAAACCAATAGGCTCCAGTAGAAGCTGTCCAGTAAGCTGTAGTATACTCTGTACCTTTGGTGCTAATAGCTCCAATAGCCCCTTAAAACTACCAGCCTCTGAGATTGATGGTTTGGCTGGAGCTTCTGGGAAAGGGAGGCAGTCTTCACCCAGTGGAGCCTCTTAGGGTTTTGGACTTGTTTCCTACTAGACCCAGATACCAGCTAAACCCATTTAAAATGTGACTGTTAGCTTGCTACTAGGCTTTAGTTGAAACTTTATGCCTGATACATGGAGACTTGTGAATCACTAGCCTGACATTCTATGCAGCAGGTCAACTTAGACTGACTAACAAGATACAATTGTCAAATGGAAATGGTAAATTAGAATATAGTCAGCCTGGCCCTGGCAGCACCTTGTCATTATATTAAAAAATATATAATCAGCTCTCACTCTGGGGCAAACTTTATTTCCTATTCCACCCACTAAACAAAGATACTGGCTCAGCGAGGCTCTCAGTTCAGCAGTTCCTCTAAATGCCTAGATCATTTGGTTGATATTCAGCTAAGATGAAACTCAGTGGTGTCTACAAGACTGCTGCAGTTCAACCTAATGCAAGCTATTCAGTACTGACAATGGACATGCTTGTTCTACTCAGTGGGAATAACTCAAGGTTTTTCTCATAGAACAATCCAATAGTCACATCAATGAACCTTTCTTTAATTTTTATTGACTCCTGGACTGTTGGTACTGGCTTAGCTATTTGATCTACTTGGAAAATTACTGACTGGCAGAATAAAGCAATTCTTTTGGGGCCATGAATGATTGAAATAAATCATGGTGCTGATAGAACTGTCTATACCACTCATGTAGGGGTCCACAGTAAGGCTGTATTCACCGATTGGATGCAACAGAATCAAGTTGCTCATGAGGCCACACCATTCAAATTGCCACTATTGCTGCCTACGCCATCATACCAGTTGTGGAAACATATTTCACCATCATAGACTGGATACAAAAGAAAAAAAAAACTCATTTTTCAGAGGATACCACTGCATTGCCAAACTTATGACTCTTGTCAATAGTTGAGTCATTGATATCACTTTGAAGGAGGGCACATTGCCTAGGCACAACTTCGGGCCCTTCCTGGTAGACTAAGTACATCAGACCTCTAACCCATTCTGCAGCTACTCAAAGGCCTTAGGCCTTGACCAAGGTGTCAGCTAAACTTTAAGCAGGTTCTTCCTGCCTGTCTTGACATCCCTCTCATTCTGGTCCTTACTAAATCCAAATGCTTTAATAATAGACACCCTTCCCCAACCTTTTCTCAGATTATTTACTTTAGAAACTTCTTATTATAATTAGTTCTCTGTCCCTTTGAGGTATTATGTCTCTTGCCAGTTTTACAATGCAGGACTGTCTTTCTCAAAGACTTAGGGACCAGTCATTTGAAATATAAGCATTAAGAAAATAGATCCCTATCTCTCAGTCTCTTTGAGAAGGTATGAGCCTAATTTCCACAGGCGTCTTGCTCCAAGTGAAAAACTACCTCCTAACATGAATAAAAGACACAGTTTATTTTTCCTTTGGGTGAGACCAATTGGCAAACACAAACAGCCTAGGATCTCCCAACTCCAGCTTTCAAAAACTCTCTTGCCTTTTTCTTCATTGGAGCTGATTCAAACTGTTCTGTGTCTCTTCCCACTGTTGCAATAACTTTGAATAAAGTATCTTTACCTGTTTAATTGTGTCCATTGCAATTTTTGCTTTGATAACACTGTTGACACTTTTTCTGGATAAGATGCAGCATGCTCCAATTTGATCAGCTGACTACAGTCACATCCTTGGTGCTTCAAACTAATCTGTGATTGTTTGGCCTTTCAGACCATTTGTGTCTGATAATAGTGAGTAAAAGCACTGAACAATAGATTAATAGTCAAGCTATTCAATAGACCTTTACTATTCCTTATCATTCACATGCATCTGATATTGTTTAGCATTGGAATTGCTACCCCAAAGATTTCCTGTAAAAATTAACAACTCCAGCTCACTCGCCTCTTTGTAGTTTATACATGTTAGTAAGGCAGTTTGGCCATTGAGAATGGCTGACCCCAGGAAAGTATAATCGCCTTGAGTCTACTTCTTGGGTAATGATCAAGGTAAAAAGGATAGTTTTTCTGTAGACTCACTTTAAAAATTCATAATTCTTCTCTGACCATGCCTGGACATGACGCTTTTTTTAAATTATTATACTTTAAGTCCTAAGGTACATGTGCACAACGTGCAGGTTTGTTACATACGTATACATGTGTTATGTTGGTGTGCCGCACCCATTAACTCATCATTTACATTAGGTATATCTCCTAATGCTATCCCTTCCCCCTCCCCCTACCCCACAACAATCCCTGGTGTGTGATATTCCCCTTCCTGTGTCCAAGTGTTCTCACTGTTCAATTCCCACCTATGAGTGAGAACATGCAGTGTTTAGTTTTTTGTCCTTGAGATAGTCTGCTGAGAATGAACCTCAGTAGCAATCTGATGTAGGTCTAGTTGGAACACTCTCCAGGTAATAGCGCAGCCAAAAAGAAGCGCTCAGAAATTAAAACCTAAGTCTGCATCGGCCACTTGGATTACTTGTTTGGTTGACATAGTCCTAGATCTTAATGATTGCTTGGTTGAGTACACTGCTTGCTGATTTCCCCTACAGTGTTTCATGTGAGCCAAGGTAAGATCTAATATTTCTCTGTACATCTTATAAAAATGCCTTCATCTCATTTGCACCTACCTCCCTGGATTAAAAGTTTGGGTGAAGGTAGCGATGAATGGAGAAAAAGTAGGTACAACTAATAAAATAAGAGCCATCAATACTTTTAGAAGTGAAAGAAGAGTAGCATTCCTGGAGCTTGGGGGAGAGGAAGGCTCGGATTCTGGAAGATACAGGGAAACAGTGATATTAATTATCTTTATTATTTAGAAGAGCCTTGGGAGATTTCATCATGAAGAAATACACCCCAGTGGGGCACTCTAAAACAATTGCAAACTCTTTAACTGTTTGCTGGGTCTGCCATTCTTCACAAGACAATTCTAATTCTGACTATGATTTAATGGCCATTCCCCTTAACCATACAAAGAAGTCTTTATGTAACTGCCAAAGATGGCTCTAGCTCCTACATCTTCTACTACAAAAACTTGTCAACACCTTTAGCACTATTTTAGTGGGAAAAGCAAATAACACCCAACAAGTGGTGAATAAAAACAGGACAGATTGGATTGACTGCTCTCAGCAATCCCTCCAAAACAAGGACTACTCTCAAATATTCAGGCTCAACTGGGAACCCAGTTCAACTCTACCAGTTGTCCAGGAGGACTCTCAAGCTGTGATAGCCCAACTTGTTTAGGCCCCACTTGTGTGTTTCAATAATTGTAAATACTTTTTTTTTCAGAGGTACCATGTGTATCCTGAACTGTACTTTTTGTGTAGAACCAAGCATTAATTTTCTTTTCTTCTTAAAATATGGTGACTTATATATCAAGCATAGTCATAAGAGAACTTCAAACAATGAAGGAAACACCAGTAGTAGATCATGTAGCCCTCAAATGACTGGAAAGGCTCTCCACAATGAAGGAGTGCCTGGAGATTTCTGTAGGAATAACTGGCTTATTTATGTGCACAGTGTGGGCAGCTATCTTTATAATATATGACATTTAAAAAATGTTTATTTCCACAGGTTTTTGGCAAACAGGTGGTATTTCGTTATATGAGTGACTTCTTTAGTGGTTATTTGTGAGATTTTGGTGAACCCATCACCGGAGTGGTATACACTGGACCCAATTTGTACGCTTTTATCTCTCACCCTTCTCCAAACCTTTCCCCCAAGTTCCCAAAGTCTATTGTGTCATTCTTATGCCTTTGCATTCTCATAGCTTAGCTCCCACTTGTAAGTGAGAATATACGATGTTTGGTTTTCTATTCCTGAGTTACTTCTCTTAGAATAATAGTCTCCAGTTTCATACAGGCTGCAGTGAATGACATGATTTTGCTCCATTTTATGGCTGAGCAGTATTCCATTATATATATATATATATATATATATACACACCACAATTTCTTTAACCACTCATTGATTGATGGGCATTTGGGCTGGTTCCATATTTTTGCAATTGTGAATTGTGCTGCTATAAACATGTTTGTGCAAGTATCTTTTTTGTATAATGATTCCTTTTCCCTGAACAGACCAATAACAAGAAGCAGGATTGAAATGGCAATAAAAAAAATTATGAACCAAAAAAAGTTCAGGACAAGAGGGATTCACCACTGAATTCTATCAGACTTTCAAAGAAGAATTGGTACCAATCCTATTGACACTATTCCACAACATAGAGAAAGAGGGAATCCTCCCTAAATCATTCTATGAAGCCAGTATCATCCTAATACCAAAACCAGGAAAAGACATAACCAAAAAAGAAAACTACAGACCAATATCCCTGATGAACATAGATGCAAAAACCCTTAACAAAATAGTAGCTAACTGTATCCAACATCATATCAAAAAGATAATCACCATGAGCAAGTGTGTTTCATTCCAAGGATGCAGGGATGGTTTAACATATGTGAGTTAATAAATGTAACACATAAACAGAATTAAAACAAAAATCACAAGATCATCTGAATAGAGGCAGACAAAGCATTTGGCAAAAGCCAGCATCGATTTATGATTAAAAACCTAAGCAAAATTGCATACAAGGGACATACCTTAATGTAATAAAAGCCATCTATGACAAACCCACAGCCAACATAATACTGAATGGGGAAAAGTGAAAAGCATTCCCTGTGAGAACTGGAACAAGACAAGGATGCCCACTCTCACCACTTCTATTCCACGTAGTACTGGAAGTCCTAACCAGAGCAATCAGACAAGAGAAAGAAATAAAGGACATCCAAATTGGTAAAGAGGAAGTCAAACTGTCGCTGTTTTTTGATGATATGATCATATCCCTAGAAAACCCTAAAGGCTCTTCCAAAAAGCTCCTAGAACTGATCAATGAATTCAGCAAAGTTTCAGGATACAAAATTAATGTACACAAATCAGTAGCTCTGCTATACACCAACAGTGGGCAAGCTGAGAATCAAATAAAAAACTCCTTTCACAATAGCTGCAAATAATAATAATAATAATAATAATAATAATAATAATGCATACTTAGGAATATACCTAACCAAGGAGGTGAAAGGCCTCTACAACAAAAACTACAAATAATAAATGGCATTTAGTTAGGAAAGGTGATATTAAATTTATCTCTTATTTTAGCTGAAATATTTGGCATTATCTTGGCCCTAGGAGGCATTCAAGCTAACCTCAACTCACTGGCCAGGTGTGGTCTGGAAAAATAGAATTTCTCACTAGCCAGACATGTTCTGGAAAAGAGATATCTTTTTGGGTCAACCGAGGCTGTGCAATTGCTAAGGTGTCTTGCTATGCCAAGAATAGTGTCTCAAGACAAAAGGAAAAGTTAAGAACAGAGTCGTAACGAGAAGCTGTTTGGTTTCTATAGTATATCCTAACTGTTTATGGTGGTGGAGGATTTGTTCAGCTGGGTAGGTTCAGGAGTGGGAATGGGGGATCAGAAGGGGTAAGCTTGAGGTCATTACTGCAGGTTGGCCCCATCTGGTTGCTTGGATAACTGTTGGCAGTAGTCCTAATCAAGTGTTGAATGAGACAATGTGAATACATTTTGCCCCTGCCTCTGTCACTCAATTTAATTAAAGTGGCCAAAGGGATGGTATACTAATGGGAAAACTTGCCTGAAGTCAAGATGGTATAAAAAAGAGGGGTAGACATTATTGCATGTCTTATAAGCAGAGACACGGGCTGGCATCTGTTCCAGACAATCTTTTCAAGGATATTTGTAAAGCAAACAGCCAGTCGTAGTGCTTTCCTCTGAAACAAAGCATCAGAGATGCTTTTTGTGAAGTATCATAAAGATAATGTCTCTTTCTGCAGCAAGGGCAGGGATGCTCATTGTACATTTTACAAGATTTGGGTTTTCTAGGCTCTGGATTTTTCTTCTGTTATGCATCCCACTGAGTGTGTTAACATCATCTGGATCTGGTCTCAGCACCCTGTAGAACTAGGACTTCGAAGAACTGGTTATTATTAATGTTATGAGTGATAAAGTATACTTTATCAGGAATCTCAGGTCTCTTGTGAGTATTCTTAAGACAGTGAGAGACTAACTTCTCAGCTCGCAAGTGGAGTAAAAATATACAACTTTCACAGTTCTTGATAATTATATATATGTCATAACTTAGCCCACAGAAAGGTTAAACAATAAATACAAAAAAGATAATTATATAACAAATAATAAAAGAAAGTTAAAGCTAAATAAATTGATTCAATTAATCCTTTTAGTGCAAATTTTGAATAATTAATATTTTAAAGAAAATATTTAATATTTTTACTTGAAAATTGTTATTGACATATAGAACATATAGAAATAAAAATATATTAAGGAATACCAGGTACCCATTATTCAGCAATTTAAATTTTGAATAGTTCAAGATACCACATCCTTTTATCCATAAATTCTATAAAAAAGGTTTTTATGACTTGTGTCAACTCAGATCAATTGGTGGTTTTAAGAAGAATTTAAAAATTATATTTGGGCCTAGCTGGAAAAACTGGCATGGTTAAGGAAATAGAAGCTCATATGCCAGGTATTTCAAATCTCTAAAAAAAGTGTCTGTTTTGAGAAATATATTCAATATATAATTGCTGTGGGCCATCAAAAAATTTAATCCTTTTTATTATAATGTTCTTAAGTACAAAAATAAGACTAGTTATAATTACCTTGTACATATAGCTCTTGTATTGTTAGTTTGCTGGTGCTGCTGTAACAAAATGCTATAGACTGGATGACATAAACAAGAGAAGTTTATTTCATCGTAATTACAGAGACCAGAAGTCCAAGGTCAAGATGGCAGCAGGTTTGGTTTCATACTGAGGCCTCTCTTCTTTGTTTATAGATGGTCATTTTCTCCCTTTGTCTTCACTTGGCCTTTCCTCTGCATCTGTTGTCTGTGTCATAATCTCTTCTTCTTATAAGACACTGGGTATATGAGATTAGAGCTGACCCTAAAGACCTCATTTTAACGGATTTATTTCTTTAAATACGTATGTCCAAATACAGAGAAACAGTTCTGTCTAAGATACTGGGGGCTAGGTCTTCAACATATAAATTTTTGGGTACACATTTCAGCCCATGCCAGCTCTTAAACAATTGAACAACTGAAGTAAATTTTATAAATTACATGTTGACCGAATGTAAAACCCAATAAATTTCAATTTATGAAATTCAATTTAATATTATTATTATGGTATATCAAAGGATAAAGTCCCTACTTGGAAGCATGAAACCTCCTGAAACTTTGTCTGGTATTAATTTATCATTATATTTATTTATTTATTTATTTTTTGAAACAGCCTCACTCTGTCTCCCAGGCTGGAGTGCAGTGGCATCATCTTGGCTCCCTGGAACCTCTGCCTCCTGGGTTCAAATGGTTCTCCTGCCTCAGTCTCCCAAGTAGCTGGGACCACAGGCATGAACCACCACACCAGGCTAATTTTTGTATTTTTAGTAGATATGGAGTTTCACCATGTTTGTGATGCTGGTCTCAAACTCCTGACCTCAGGTGATCTGCCCACCTTGGCCTCCCAAAGTGCTAGGATTACAGGTGTGAGCCACCACTCCCTGCCTGTACACTCTTTTTTAAAAAAAATTTTGATTGTGTATATTTAAGACATACTACATGATGTTATAGGATACAGATAAATAGTGAAAAGATTACTGTATTGAAGCATGTGAACATAACCATCATTTCAAATATTTATCCATGTTTTTTGTTTTTGCGGCAAGAGCAGCCAAAATCTACTTGTGTAGCATGAATTCCAAGTATAGTACAATTTTATTAGCTATGGTCCTCACGTTGTACATTAGATCTCTAAACTTATTATTTCTGCATATCTGCTACTTTGTATCCTCTGATTAAAGCCTATATGTTTTAACATAATGTGTGTACATGTGTGTGCATTTCATAAAAATATATCTGAATACAAATAAGGAGAGGTATAGGAAGAAACTTCCACCTTTGTGTTCCAAATTAGACAAAAGAAAATTGTGATTGAATGCCATCAAAGACCCACATTTTTGTCCTGAACAAAGTAACAAAATGGGTCAGCTCCATCTGACCATCCATGAAGGAAGATGCTCCAAGATGGTCCTAGACAGATATTTTTAAGTTTTATTTTATTTTTAATTGGCAAATAACAATTGTATGTATGTATAAGGTACAATTTGATTATAAGATACTGATGAAACTTTTCTGTGTCTCCCCTCTCCCATCCATCCCCTAAAGGGCTGAGCCAAACTGTATATACCAGAACATACTAGGGCCCAAACTGTATATGCCATTAAAGATTCTATCTCTGACAGTGAGATAAGATGCATGTGTATGATACTTGGGTACCATGTGGCATTGATATTGATAAAGAATAAAGGGGAATTATTATCCTTTACTCTCCCTTTTCTTTTATACTAAAATTTATTTCACAATGCAATAAAATATAATCCAGATAGAGTCTGGCTGAGATAGGTTATAGAGTCCCAAATTTGAACAACAGCAACAATGACAATGGTGACAACAAAAACAATATATATTTTTTTCTACCCAGTGTTGTGTGTTTTTCCTCATCTTCAGAAAATATAAACAGGTACAGACTTGTTTAGTGATTTGTCCAATGGCAAACTGCTTATGAGAATTTAAATGGAGACATTCTAACTCTAAACCTCATGTACGTATCTTTTGCACCAGGAGTCAGCAATTTTTTCATAGAAGGCCAGACAGTAAATAGTTTACATACTGCAGTTTATAAAGTCTCTGTGGCATCAACTTAACTCTACCATTTTATCATTAAAATAGCCATAAATATTACATAAATGAATAAGCCTAGCTGTGTTCTAATAAAGTGTATTTATAAACACTGGAATTCAAATTTCATTTAATATAATTCTCATGAGTCATAAAATATCATAATTTTTAAATATTAAAAAATTCTTAACTCATGGTTGATGAGAAAATAAGCAGTGAGCCAGACTAGGTAGACAAGTCACACTTTGCAAACCATTGTTCTATACTATATTTGTGATGCTATTTTGAACACAGGTGATTTTTTGTTTTTTGTTTTGTTTTAGATTATTTTCTGTCTGGTCTTTGATAAGTTTAGCATTCCTTTACACGTTTTATGTAATGTTCAATAATTTTCTCAATTTGAACAACTGTGATTTTTGTATAGATATTATATTGTGACATCATTTGTGTATCATTTTAACTTTTTGCATTATTTAAAGTTAAGTTTTTCTCTGTTTTTTCCTCTTAACCCATTATAGTAGAAAAATAACTGCATAACACCTACAAGATAATTTTAAAAGCAAATGATATAGTACTACAATAACCATCTGTATGGTATTTATCACAGTATTTCAAAATACACTTTTATATTTTTTAGCATATTACAAGGAAACAACTAGTGAAGTAATAGTGGACATCTGAGTAATGAATAATTACATCTTCACAATTTTCTGAAATTGTTCTATTTAAATATCATTTTGACTCTGTGTAATACGTTACATAAAATTAGAATGGCTTATGTAAGAACAGGAATCACTGCTTTAATCAATATTTAAACTCTCTTTTAATTGAATCTGCTTTAGCTAATATTCTTTCTCTGAGAATTACAATCAAACTAAAGACAAATTCAGTCTTGACAAAGGAAATAGCTCAAATTTTGGCACTGGCTTTGTATTCTAGCTTAAAGCAATTTAGTGAATTGGAACAGTTAGGGACTAAGGACCTCTCACTAATGATAGCATGATAAAAAAATTTAAAAGGTTACTAGAAATAATTGTTGTTTGGAAGAATCAATTTTGCACAACTTATGGCACAATTCATATATGATGTCTGAGATAATTCACACTGGATTTTAAAAAAATATTGCCTATCTATTGAAGAAAATTTACTTTCGTATTTTTCAGCATAATTAATGATAGAAATATATAAAAACGATATTGCTTAGAAATAGAATATTACATATCTTGAGAAGAAAATGATCTGCCTTAGAAAAGTGTGTAATGTGCAAAATTCCATGTTAACACATTTAATAACTTAAAACCTGATGCTTAAACAGCACCTACAAATTACAAATACATTTTACATTAATTATTTATTGAATTCTTATAAAATCTAAGTAGGCATATATCACTATTATTATTATTTTTATATTTTTTAATCTTATATATGAAGAAATGGAAGCTAAGGCCACCCAAATGACACTTGTGATCACATTAAATATAAATAGCCTTGGTCATTCCTTTCCTCCTATTTTTTCCTTCTTATTTTTCTCTATATAAACTAAGACCAAGAGCTGGGAGGAAGGGATGGACAACTCTCAGAAATATAATCAGAGTGTGAGGTAGATAGAATCCTGTCACTAAAACAATCATCTTTCTACAATATTTACATATATCAAAACAGCACCTTGTATCCCATAAATAGACACAACTACTATTTGTAAATTAAGTTGTTTTAAAAATACCAAGAAAATAATAATAACACGTCTCATAAATCACCTCCCTTCCCTTCCAATCACTTTCTCTGTTCTCTACACAAACCAATCAGCAATTCCACTCTTATGGTTGTCAAGAAGAGAAATGGTATGCTTACATCCTCTCATTTTTTAAAATTTAATTTTATTTTATTTATTTTTACAGGTAAATATTTTATTTTATTATTTTTTTATTTTTTATTTTTTTTAATTTATTATTATTATACTTTAAGTTTTAGGGTACATGTGCACAATGTGCAGGTTAGTTACATATTTATACATGTGAAATGCTGGTGCGCTGCACCCACTAACTCTTCATCTAGCATTAGGTATATCTCCCAATGCTATCCCTCCCCCCTCCCCCCACCCCAAAATAGTCCCCAGAGTGTGATGTTTCCCTTCCTGTCTCCATGTGTTCTCATTGTTCAGTTCCCACCTATGAGTGAGAATATGCGGTGTTTGGTTTTTTGTTCTTGCGATAGTTTACTGAGAATGATGATTTCCAATTTCATCCATGTCCCTACAAAGGACGTGAACTCATCATTTTTTATGGCTGCATAGTATTCCATGGTGTATATGTGCCACATTTTCTTAATCCAGTCTATCATTGTTGGACATTTGGGTTGTTTCCAAGTCTTTGGTATTGTGAATAATGCCACAATAAACATACGTGTGCATGTGTCTTTATAGCAGCATGATTTATAGTCCTTTTGGTATATACCCAGTAATGGGATGGCTGGGTCAAATGAAACATCCTCTCATTTTTAAGAAAAAACAGAAACTGTTTTCTAGCATAGGTCCATGCTAACTTGCTAAGTGGACATCTATTGCTATTTAAGTTTCAGATTTTAAGTGATTTAAAGGGTTAAAATAAAATCATGCACATGGTTGCAAGTTTTTCTTAAGCAGACCATTTTCCTCTTTGAAAGAAATGTGACAACATGATTATTTTTATATATTTCTATCATGAAATGGCCTTTCAGTCACTTTCTTGATCCATGAAAGGTTTTAGCCATTTTGTTTTCATTGGCTTGAGTCTATCTCAATTTACAGTATTCCCTGTGAAAATTTCAGTAAAACTGCACCTGAGTTGGTATCCCCAGGCCTTACTTTAGAAGAAAATGTATTATGATGCTTTAGGCATTTGAGAATATATTTCTTACCTTATATTGTTGATAATACAATGAACTATTTTACCTCATCTGAAGTTTTTAAGGTCACTTAATATGTTTCTGACAGTCTGTTGATTCTATATTTTATATGTGTAGCTGTAATTTTACTTTTATTTTGCCATGTCGTTATTGCTACCTTGTAACTTATGGTAGAAAAGCCAAGGTTTAAGGGCAACAATTCATTATACCAATGTAAATTTAATCAAATACATTGATATTGCTGACAGATGGCAGGTCATCAATAATAATAACTGCTTCTGACAATACCAAGTGGCTTTTTTATGACATTTTGTCCTAGAAAATTTGTACTTACCATTTTGTCATTCAAAGGCTTAGTTTCTCCTAGAAATAATGAATATGGATGCTCCATTTACAATGTCATTTTGTTTATCAGAATTCTTCCTCTTCACTCCTTTATAATCTGATCTGTGGGCCTTTTGCTTTTGTTATGGTATTCCATTTGAGTTGGTATACAAATATGTTTAAAGTAGATAATTATATTGATCAACCACAACCAACATTTGAAGAGTTATTAAATGTATTAAATACTTGTCAATTTGCCTAAACTACTGCTGTTTTCAAAATGGGAATCAAAGCTATTGATTAAAGTAATAAAAAAAATTGACACTAATATACACACAGTATTATGTGAATGAAATCAGAAATGACATTTTTTTCAATTTATGAAAGATTGCCAGTCTTGTAAGCATAGATAATCTCCACGTAAGAAAAAAAAACAAGAAAGTAAAATCTCCATATCCAATTTCAGGTACAGGCAAAGGAATAATATCACTTGTTCTTAGTGCAACCAAATAAAAGAAAGTTTGGATCTTCTAATAAGACATAGGTGTTTTCCCCTCCATCTTCGGGAGGTGATTAGGTCATTGGGGTAGAGCCCTTGTGAATAGGATTAGTGCCCCTTATGAAAGAGGCCAAAGAAATTCCCCTCTCCTCTTCTGCAATGTGATTTTTTTTGTGCAAGAGAGTGGGTTTCACCGGACACCAGATCTCCTGGCACCTTGATCTAGGACTTTCCAGCCTACAGAACTGTGAGAAATAAATTTCTGTTGTTTATAAACCAACCAGTCTATGCTATTTTTTTAAGAGTAGCCCAGAAAGAAGATATTGAGATAGGTCCTGAAAGGTGAACCACTAAATCCACACACCAGAAAGAAACATATGAGACATCTGTTAAAAAGAAAAAAAAAAAAAAAGGCCCAAGCAATGAAACTTGAGGAAAGTTGAGAAGATGGTAGAGTAAAATGATGGTTTTATAGGTTATGGGGCTTTGGTATGTCATAGAAAGGATCTTGGTCTCAGTTTTCTCAATTAAAAAGTGTGGATATGCTTTTCTCGAGGAGTATCTTTGTGGTGTTCTCTGTATTTCCTGAATTTGAATGTTGGCCTGCCTTGCAGCACGATTCACAATAGCAAAGACTTGGAACCAACCCAAATGTCCAACAACGATAGACTGGATTAAGAAAATGTGGCACATATACACCATGGAATACTATGCAGCCATAAAAAATGATGAGTTCATGTCCTTTGTAGGGACATGGATGAAGCTGGAAACCATCATTCTCAGCAAACTATCGCAAGGACAGAAAACCAAACACCGCATGTTCTCACTCATAGGTGGGAATTGAACAATGAGAACACATGGACACAGGAAGGGGAACATCACACACTGGGGACTGTTGTGGGGTGGGGGAGGAGGGGGGAGGGATAGCATTGGGAGATATACCTAATGTTAAATGATGAGTTACTGGGTGCAGCACACCAACATGGCACATGTATACATATGTAACAAACCTGCACATTGTGCACATGTACCCTAAAACTTAAAGTATAATAAAAAAAAAAGTGTGGAAAAATTTCTTAACATGCATAGTATCTCCAAGAATTACACAGTGTTTTAAATGTGTATCATAGTATTTGTAATATCATTGGTATCTGATGACTATCACCTGCAATTGTTGATGGTATTGTTTTTGTTATCATTTTTTGTACATACCTTTGATAGATTTTGCTATGAAGGCCTGTTATCTTATAATGAAGGTCTTCCATCAAAAGAGATTGCATTATTTTATAGAGTAGGATGAATGCTGTATTTTCCAAGAAAAAAAGAATGTCAACCACAGAAACAAATATTCTGTCTTAAACAATCAGGATAGAATCTCATTTAAAACATTACTCTTCAGATGTATAATATTGGAAATCAGATAATCTCATAGTCACAGAGTGCCTAGATATCTTCTATAATTGTAAAATAAATGTTTTTGTCTTCATCTCTGCTCTCCCAATTTTACATCCTATTACTGCTCTATTTATTCTCAGAAAAAAAAAATGTGCTTTTCCTTTACAAACCTTTCCACAGTACCCTATGTTGTACTATGTCTTCAAAACTTCAACGGAACACCCTTGATTGTTATGTAGTTGAATCTTGGCTCCCCCTATGCAGGTTCCTCTAGTTCCCCCTAATCTTGCACTTTACTGACCTAGAAATGCAGAGTGGCTTGACCACTTTGTGACCTAGTCAGCTACATGTTTTTCCTTAAAGGCTTGAACACAAGATGGATACATGAACACTTTCAGGTACCGATGAAGGTATTTTAGTTATGGTCCAAAACACTAGCCCTGAAAGACATTAGCCCTGGCCTTGAGCGACATTTCTTAAATCCTCATATAAACTTCATAACTCGACCCACTCAACTGGGATATTCCTATGTAGAACAACCCTTGTCTCCCTGTTCACAACAAGGATATACTGCAGCTGTCCCTGTACCAACGCTCCCCTACTAAATGCTTTGGACTTAAAACCCTGGCATTTAGTGGTTCTTTTTTCAGAATCTCAACCAGCCCCTTCTCAAGACATTTTGTGGCACTTCTGTTTAGAAATTCTCCTGTTCCTGCTTTTGGGGTAACTCCAGCCATGAGTTCAGTTGAGACAGAACACCCTGCTTAGAGCACTGATTCCTCTTAAGTCAGTTCCAATATAACAGGGCATCTCATCTCCTGTAGATATAGGGAGGAAAATCTAGGGGACTGTAAAATTCTCAGAATTTTCCAATTGCATTCTAAACCAGTACAATCTTACCTAACATTTCCCCATTCATATCAGTAGCACACAAAAAAGCTAAATAATCCACACGCTTCATTTCCACTCTATGAACTCCTGGCCACTCTCCTCAGCCCATCCCCGACAATGACAACACCTTCTTTTGATTTCCCTCTCCACTTCTGTAGTTCTTTTTTGGGTGACGTCTATAATCATATGCATGGTCTATCCAGCAATCAAGTAGACTCAAGGTTTATACACTTCCAATAAATAATCACTCTTATTGCATCTCAACCATTTCTGCTCCAAGCAACGAGGACTTTTTTGTCCTCCAGAAGTACTCTAGGTATAAAAGTTATAATTAAAACAATCTTATCATCTTTTTACAGCTTCCCATTTTTCAACTTTCTCCTTCATTACAACAAAAACTATTCTCCAGCCTCATTAAATCTTCCTTCAGACTTTTTAACCACAGAATTTTCTCCTGAACTTCCAAGTTCCTTCTGTCTTTAGACTCTTCTACATGTGTTAATTATCATAGAATCCGTCATTTATATTATTATTGCAGCAGTATGCTCAAGAATCTTTCTTCATGTTTTTTTAATCTCACCAAAATACAATATATTAATCCTGGATCAATCCAACCATTCTGATAAACAGAAAACCTGTAAAACAGAAAATAATAAAACAAAATCATCCAGAGTAAAATAGACACGATAATGGACACTACAGAGTTTTCACCTATATCTATATGGGGAGGATTTTACCACAAAATAATGACTTGATAAGCAACTTAAGCAAAGTCTCAGGATAAAAAAATCAATGTGAAGAAATCACAAGCATTCCTATATGCCAATAACAGACAGAGAGCCAAATCATGAGTGAACTCCCATTCACAATTCCTACAGAGAGAATAAAATACCCAGGAATACAACTTACAAGGGATGTGAAGGACCTCTTCAAGGAGAACTACAAACTACTGCTCAAGGAAAGAAGAGAGGACACAAACAAATGGGAAAACATCCCATGCTTATGGAGAGGAAGAATCAACATCGTGAAAATGGCCATACCGCCGATAGTAATTTATAGGTTCAATGCTGTCCCCACCAAGCTACCATTGACTTTCTTCACAGAATCGGAAAAAAACTACTTTAAACTTCATAGGGAACCAGAAAAGAGCCCGCATAGCCAAGACAATCCTGAGCAAAAAGAACAAAGCTGGAAGCATCAAGCTACCTGACTTCAAACTATACTACAAGGCTAGAGTAACCAAAACAGCATGGTACTGGTATCAAAACAGATATATAGACCAAATGAACAGAACAGAGGCCTCAGAAATAACACCACACATCTACAAGCATCTGACCTTAGACAAATCTGAAACAAAGAAGCAATGGGGAAAGGATACCCTATTTAATAAATGGTGTTGGGAAAACTGACTAGCCACATGCAGAAAACAGAAACTGGACCACTTCCTTACACTTTCTACAAAAATTAACTCAAGATGGATTAAAGACTTAAATGTAAGACTTAGCACCATAAAAACTCTAGAAGAAAATCTAGGCAATACCATTCAGGACATAGGCATGGGCAAAGAATTCATGACTAAAACACCAAAAGCAATGACAACAAATGACAAAATTGACAAATGAGATCTAATTAAACTAAGGAGTATCTGCACAGCAAAAGAAACTATATCAGAGTGAACAGGCAACCTACAGAATGGGAGAAAATTTTTGCAATCTATCCATCTGACAAAGGGCTAATATCCAGAATCTACAAAGAACTTAAACAAATTTACAAGAAGAAAATAACCCCATCAAAAAGTGGGCGAAGGATATGAACAGACACTTCTCAAAAGAAGACATTTATGCAGATAACAAACATATGAATAAAATCTCATCATCAGTTGTCATTAAACAAATGCAAATCAAAACCACAGGGAGATACCATCTCATGCCAGTTAGAATGGTGATCCTTAAAAAGTCAATGCTTCATTTAATGGCAGCATTAAAAAAAAAATGCTGGAGAGGAGGTGGAGAAATAGGAATGCTTTTACACTGTTGGTGGGAGTGTAAATTAGTTCAACCATTGTCGAAGACAGTGTGATTCTCGATCAAGGATCTAGAATCAGAAATATCATTTGTCCCAGCGATCCCATTACTGGGTATATACCCAAAGGATTATAAATCATGCTGCTATAAAGACACATGCACACGTATGTTTATTGTGGCACTATTCACAATAGCAAAGATTTGGAACCAACTCAAATGTCCATCAGTGATAGACTGGATTAACAAAATGTGGCCCATATACACCATGGAATACTATGCAGCCATAAAAAGGATGAGTTCATGTCCTTTGCAGGGACATGGATGAAACTGGAAACCATCATTCTCAGCAAACTAACACAAGAACGGAAAACCAAATACTACATGTTCTCACTCATAAGTGACAGTTGAACAATGAGAACACAAGTGCACAGGGAGGGGAACATCACAAAGTGGGGCCTGTCAGGGGATGGGGGGGCTAGGGTAGGGATAGTAGGTGACAGGTTGATGGATATAGCAAACCATTACGTCACATGTGTAACTATGTAACAAAAGCGCACATTCTGCACATGTACCCAGAATTTAAACTATAGTAATAAAAAAAAAACAGTAGAAGGAGAAAAGCAACAGAAGGGACGGGAAAAGAAACAAGTTATGATTCTAAATAAGAAGAATATAGCGCTGTCACCATTCTTTTCACACCCAAACTGAAAAGTTCAATTTAGTGTACCTGGAGTAATAGCAATTTTATAAAATAAATCATTAATATCAAAACACATAGAAATCTAGTTTTTACAAAAGAAATTTCAATAATTGTTTTTAAGAGTCATAAGGATTACCTTGGAATAAGTTTTCCAAATTACTGCTTTAGGCACAATGTTATTTATAAGTTTATAAATAAATGCTTTTTGACACCAGAAATACTGTCATGTAAGGCATGTCATGGTCCAATGTTTCTAGAAATTAACTGAGAGAATAATTAGTTTAAAAATAAATATCTCAGTGCTTGGATAATCGTGACAGTTTTGTATGATGATTTGCACTCTGTTTTTAAACAAGTTATATGTAGGAGGACAGATGTTTGTTTTACTTAGCTTTTAATTGTTGAAATTACCGGGTCCTAAAATTAAAACCATCTTCAGGAATTGATTAATGTTTAAGAATTTAAGCTTTTCAAAGCAATATATAGCCATTTCAAATGCAGGTAATATTATATACCAATATATTAATAAAAATAGTGCCATAATTATTTTAAAAAATATAAACAAAAGAAAAATATAAAAATTATGTTTTCGTATCCACATATACTTTAGGATAGGCAAAATGTGCAGTTGACAGCTGGGTGGAATCCTGCTGAACCTATTAATAGAGAACTGGGAAGAAAATTTCACAGCAAAATTTTCAAAGGGAGGGACAGGAGAGCCTTCCTTATCTCAACTGGGACTGCTTTGACAACAATATTAGAAAATACGACTCTTTAGGGAAGCAGAAGACAAGGCAATTTTATAACTGGTGAGGGAGAATGAAGAGAATCTTCTTTGATGAAAGTCTCAAAGTAAGGTCTATTTGCTCAGATGAAAAAGGAAAGAGAACAAAGAAAAGCAAAAATCCACCTCATAATATGTTACAAATGGAGTAGAGGGATGATCTTTTTTCATTCCTCATCTTTGAAGAAAATGTGGTATTTTAAAAACTAATTACCAAAATCTTTATGAAATACCGTATTCTTTCTATGAGATGTGAAGATAGAAGATGGGTTGTATCATTGATCTTAGACAGAATTGCATTTATGACATTCATAAATAGCCAGACACTATATACTTGGTGGATCTTTTAGAACTCTTAACAAAAATTTCCAGAGAAGGGTGTGGCAAGAGTTTGTTCCCTTGCAGAATGTAAACATTATGGCAATTGGCTATTACATTTATATCTAAATTTCAGCACAATTCTTAGTAGAGGAGCAAAATAGTACTATAGTCGCTGAGATCATTTTTAACTCTTTACCACTCTGAGAATAAGGTCAGGGACTCGTACCAGTATGTACACTAACAATTCCAGAGACTTTTAAAATGTAAATTTAAAGACAATTTGAAATTAACTAAGATATATATTCTTAGGAGGCAGTATCAAGTAGTAGAAAGAACACTTTATTGAAGAGAAACTGTGAATATGAGTTACAAATTGTTCAATCATTAGCTACATTGTGTCTTCATTTATAAAACTCAATGTCTGTTCTGGAAGCAGACATTGTCAAGGGATTGTTATGGTTGTCAAATGAAATAATGTGTTTAATTTTTGTAAACCAAGAAGGACTATGGAATACAATATCTCAGTATTACTGGCTACGAAATTAAAAAAGGTAGTGTGAATGAAGTAAACATTTTTGGAGTATTTACATGGTATTAAGGAGTTAGCATATTGTTAAGCAATATATGATATTGTTTGGCTGTCCCAAATCACATCTTGAATTGTAGCTCCCATAATCCCCACGTGTTGTAGGAGGGCCCCAGTGGGAGGTGATTGAATCATGGGGGTGGGTTTTTTCCCCTGTTGTTGTCGTGATAGTGAATAAGTCTCATGAGATCTGGTGGTTTTATAAAGGGCAGTTCCCCTGCACACACTCTCTTGCTTGCCACCACGTAAGACTTGCCATTCGTCTTCCTCTGCCTTCCACCATGATTGTGAAGCCTCCCCAGCCATGTGGAATTGTGAGTCCACTAAACCTCTTTTTCTTTATAAATTACCCCATCTTGGATATTTCTTCATAGCAGTATAAAAATGGACTAATACAGCATGTATTACCTCATGAACTTCTGTTAGTCTTTATTTTAGAAAAGAAAAAGGTGATGTTAGTAGAAATCAATAACTCTCTCACTATAACCCATCTAGTAACTGGAAGAATCCAATCTGTCTGACTGTAAACTCATTCTCTTTTTACCTACCCCACACAACATCATAAGAGATTGGAGTTGTTAGGACAGCAGTGAGAAAATTTCCTATTTTTAATCCATCAATTAACTTTTTAAAGTGTAATTGGTTGTATAATATGATGGATTAGGCACCTTTGTATACCATGTTTAATTGTTTTGACTTTACTTCTTAAGTCCATTTGTGTCCATCAATTATTTGCTGTCTACAAGTACCTTAATACAGGCACATCCAGAATTAAACTCACTTTGTAAACCTATGTGGAATTCATACATATGCATGAATTCATCCAGAAGTAGGAGGAGCCAAATGCTCAGTGGGCTACCTTTGAATAATGGGGACATAATAAAAGTAATAACTGTTTCTCTCTGAATTCCTGGGGAAATAGTTCTGAAATACATTTTTCAAGACTCCTCAGAAGATATCGTAGGTTGGAGTACTGGTCACCCATAGCAATGACAAATTTGATAATACATTCCTGTATTTGATTTTCTCTCCTTCCCTGTTCACTTCCTCATCCCTGGTATTACTTCCCAAACAAACCCTGCATTACAAGCTTTTGTCTTGGCCCCTGCTTAATCTAGGAAATGTAGGTTAAGATCTGTTGTTCAAGACAAATTTTTGTAGCTGAAATCGACTATTTGTATTATTTGGAAACTTTCTGCCAAGATTTACATTTAAAAATCTCTTCAATTATATTAATCTCAATTTCATATTGCTCTAAAACTTATATGTTAAAAAATGATGCTTCTTCAAATATGCTGAAGACTACTTGGAACAGCAGAACTTTACCTTAAGATATAGGAAAACATTGAAATGAAATAGGACATTTTTCTGTTGAATGACCATGTCGCATAAAAATTGAGAAGGGGAGAGAGAGAGAGAGAGAAAGTTAGGACCTCGGGAAAAGATTTCAACAGAGTAATGTAATACATCAAGGTGCAAAGGAATGGCCAAGTGCTGAAAATCAGGCGATAGAAGTGAATTTCAAAGTACAAATTTGTATTGCCCCTAAATGTTCCACAATGTACGCTATAAATTTTAATTTTAATTTGATATGCATACTTAACTTTAACCACATACATTTAGGCATCCACCATTCTAGACTTGTAAATTAACTGAATCCCCGAAAACTGATTTCATAATTCTACTTGTAGGAGATAGTTAAGTAATTTAACACCAGCTCCCTGTTTGATTTTACTCAGTAATATTACTAGTTACGTCCTTTTCGCATTTTATTTAAAAATTGTTTATGCATTTGAAATTGACAAATAAAACTTGCATACATTTATGGTGTTGTACAGCATGATGTTTTGAAAATGTGTATACATTGTAGGATAGCTAAATTAAGCTAATTAACACTGCATTACCTTATATAGTTGTCTGTTTTGTGTTTAGAACACTTGAAAAATATTCTGTTAACAATTTTTGGGTATATAATGCATTGTTACTAACTATAGTTACCATTTGTATAATAAATCTCTTGAACTTATTCCTCCTATCTAACTGAAATTTAGTAACCTTTGACCATATCTCCCCAATCTCCCTTCCCAGATCCTAGTAACCACCTCTCTACTCTCTGCTACTATGAGTTTGGCTATTTTGGGTTCCATACATACATTAGATAATGTTGTGTTTGTCTTTTTATGTCTGATATTTCACTTAATATAATGTCCTCCAAGCTCATCCATGTTGTCACAAATGACAGAATTTCCTTATTTTTTAAGGGTAAATAGTATTCCATTGTGTATATAAACCATATTTCTTAATTCATTCCTCTATTAACAGACACTTAAGTTTCACCTCATATCTTGGCTATTTCACAATTATTTAATTCTAAGTGAGAAAAATAACATAAAATGCATCGCAAAATTATAAATTAAGTAAACATAAGACATTGAGTGGTGCAATGCTTTTTCATTGCAATAATTTTTCATCAAACATGATTGGCAGGTTCTTTTCATACAGTGATTAATATCATTATATTGAATAACAAATATATAAAAGACCAAGTATTTGTCACTTGTGAGAAGAGGGAAAATATTTAAAATAGAAAACATATTTTTGATATTATAAAAACAAAACAATTTGTATATGTGTTTGTACTATTTCAATGAAAAATGTCTTTATACAGGAGGAGTATATTGCTAAGTATAAGTATTGTAAGTATACTGTAAAAGGACCAGTTAAGGGTATATCTACTCATCAGGATATTGCCAATGTATTAAAATATTAATGAGGAATTAATTATACCAAGGAAATGATTATTTTATAAGGCCAAGTGACAAGAGAAAATATAAGATTGTATAAGGGAGACAAATGTATTAATTTACTTGACTGTTGTACCATTTCACCACATATATATACATATATATATCTCAAAACATATTGTACAACTAAAATATACACAATAAAAACATTTATAAAAGATTGTATATCTCCAACAGTATAAGTGTCTGTATTTTTGTTGCTGAAACTCTCATAAATATCTAGCTTGATTTTCTAAATTTATTATTTTTGGATGCTCCATCATATGATATAGGCTATGTGCTCCACTTAAAAGGGGCTCTTCAAAAAGATAGGCAGTCATCCCTCCAAGTAGCTGGTCCTGCAGCACAGGCAGTCCATCTTTTTGCCAGTCAAAAGATACATGCTGAGGATGGCTGAGCTAGAAATACTTTCAAAAATGAGCACAAATTAAATCAAAAGGGAACATGCTTTGAATTTCAGGTATTGATTTCCAATCAAACTATATATTCTTACGTGGGTAAGTCTATGAAATATGTTCCAAGATGGGTAATAGTTATGATTTGTAAACATACTAGTGGTCAATGATTCTATAGCTCAATATTGAAAATGCAAGACAGTAGCTATTCAAATAGACAAGGACTAGGAGGACATATTTGAAAAAGGAAAAAAAAAGTATTATTTCCTGGGAAAACTGCAAGGCAACCTGTAGAAACAGATTTTTTCTTTTATGTTAATATTTTATTTATGGTTTTGTTTGTGAAATATGCCTTAAAACCATAGTTTCATATATTTTGATGAGTAATTTTACTATTCTATATTTACTATTCTATATTTATCTTACAGGTGTAATACATAATATAATAAAAATATAATGATATTAAATGAGGCATTGTTTATAAATTTAAAAATACAAGTTAATTGTCCAGTAATGGTTGAGTTAATTAGATTATGGGATATATTTAAAATTAAATAGTCTGTAGCTTTTCTTGAAAATAAATAGATAATTGTCTACAAATGCTTATGATATAATATGCTTTATTTTTTAAAGTTCTGAAAAAATCCTAAATATGGCCTACCAACTCCTTTATTTTCTACTGTACTCTTCTCTTGCTCTAGTGAAAATATTCTTCTCTCAGGTTTTACACCAACCTTTCTCCCTATTGACATAGATGGTCCAGGTTCTGTTCATTCTGGCAGAAAAAAATTCTTCCTTTAATTAGCTTTTATTTCCTCAGGACAAAAAAATACCTTGAGATCTAATTTTGCCAAATTCTCAACCTAAGTGTTGCCATAGTACTATAGGTATGTCCTTTATTGTGCTTACTGTGTTTGCACATGTATACTTATTTGTTATTGCTGTTGTTTTATCAATGTCTGTCTTAAAGAGGTGTTTTCATTTGCTTGCAATTGAATTCCTAGCATTTGGCACTCTTTTCAGTACATAATATTTGTGGCAGCAATTGAAGTGTCCTGCTCAGATCTACAAAAAAAAAAGTTTGCTGTTCAGTTATCAACAGTGAAATTAATTCATAGCCTTCAACTGTTCGTGCCTTCATAGTTCATCTCAGATTTTGATGCGAATTTGTTCTCCAAGCAGCTAGTCAGTGACTGATGATGGTGGGAACTACAAAGCTCTCTTCTAGATTATCCTGCACTTGATTACATCTGACCGTGTACTCGGAGGCTTTCATTGACCAATCCTGTTTCCTCCCACCTTCCTTTTGTAGCTGTCATACCTGCATCACTGTCTAAAGATGCTGCTTTCCCAATCCTGCTTTCTCCCCTCCTCCACCCCCTTTTTTTTTTTTTTTTTTTTTACATTGTACTGCAATAAACATCTTGCTTTTCTATCTTGGCCATCTTGGCCTTAGTGTGTGCTTCCTGGATGGCCCAACGAACATAACATGTACTTAATAATTATTATTAAATGAAAGGACAAAAACATAAAGGAAAAACTGCAAGAATGTATTACTTACAAGAAAAGGAGTAAATAAAGCATGTATTACGATGCTGTGCCAATTTTGTGGCAAGACAATACAATCTAAAGATTAAGAGAGCGAGTTCCGGATTCTGAGTTCAAATCTTGACCTGATACTTTCTGGCTGCTGTCTAATATACAAAAAACTATTCAACTGAGAACAATCGGCAAAGGGGAGCAAGATGGTGGAATAGAAAGCTTCACCAACCCCTCCTCACCCAAGGACACCAAGTTAAAGTTAATATAAGCAGAAAAAACACCTTCATAAGAACTAAAAATCAGGTGAGCACTATAGCACCTGGTTTTAACTTTGTATCATTGAAAGAGGCACCAAGGAGACAGAAAAAACAGTCCTTAATTGCCGACGCCACCCCTTTCCCATCCCCGGGCAGTGGCAGCCTGGTGCGGAGAGCATTGTCGGGCACTGGAGGAGGGAGAACACAGCAATTGTGAGTGATTGAACTCAGTGCTGTCCTGTTAGAGCTGAAATGAAAACCGGACCAAATCACTGACACCTGCCCATGGAGGGCGCATTTAAACCAGCCCTTGCAAGAGGGGAATCACTGATCTCAGTGGTCTTAAACCTGAGTGCATGCTAACCTCACCACCAAGGGCTACAGCACTCTGTGTACCTAAGAAAACATGAAAGGCAGCGTAGTCCCTAAGGACTGCAATTTTTAGGCAAGTCCTAGTGCTGAACTAGGCCCAGAGACAGTGGACTGGAGGGGCACGTGACATACTGGGAAAAGGGCTACCTTCCGCGCCAGTGGAACGCTCGCATCACCCCTCCTCTAACCCCAGGATTCAGAGCTCCTGGCTCCAAAAGACACACCTTCTTTCAATTTGAGGAGAAGAGGGGGAAGAGCGGGGAGGACTGCCTCCTGCATCTTGAATACCAGCTCAGCCACAGCAGAATAGGGCACCAGACAGAGTGCGGCCCCTAGCTCCCAAACAACATTTCTAGACACACTCCGGAACAGAAGGGACTCCACTTCCTTGAAGGAAAGGAGGTGATCCCGGCAGCATTCATCACCTGCTGACTGAAGAGGCTTTGAGCCCTGAATAACCAGCAACAATACTCAGGTACTACATCAAGGACCTTGGCTGAGCCTCTGAGACTTGCTGGCTTCAGGTGAGACTCAGCATATTATCAGCTGTGGTGGCTAAGGGGCAAAACTCCTGCTTCAGAGAAGCAGAGGGAAAAGTAAAGGGGACTTTGTCTTGTGCCTTAGGTACCAGCATGGCCACAGTGGGGTAGAGCAAAATGCGGGCTTTTGGGGGTCTGCGATTCCAGAACTTGACTCTTGGACCTGCCCTGGGCCAGAGGGGAGCCCACTGCCCTTACCGCTGAGGGGCACTTTAAACATGAATTCAATTTCTTTACAAAGAACCAATTTTTTTTTTTCATTGATTTTCCTACTGTCTTTCTATTTTCAATTTTACTGATTTTTTCTTTTGTTTTCTTTCTGTTTGATATTTGCTTTGGGTCTTTTGCTTCTCTTTTACTAAGTTATTGAGATAAGAGTTTGGATAATTTATCTGATAATTTTATTTTTTAATGTATATATTTAGTGCTATAAATTTCCCTCTCCACATTGCTTTAGCAGTGTCCTACGTGTTTTTATATGTTGAATTTTCTTTATGACTCAATGCATGTTTTGGCTTCCCTTGAGATGTCTAGTCATTTGACCCAGGGACTATTAGAAGTGTGTTAGTTTCCAATTGTTTGGAGATTTTCTTGTGTTTGTGCATGACTGATTTTTACTTGGATTCCACTGTAGTTGAATAACACACTCGGTAATTATTTCAATGATTTAATAATTTTTAATGGCCCTGGCTGTGGTTTACTAATATGTTCCCTGGGTGTTTGGAAAAAAATCTGTGTTATTGTTGGGTGGTATGCTCCATAAGTGTTGATTAGATCCTGTTGGTTGATATGTTCAGTTCTATATCCTTGCTGACTTTCTGTCTAGCTATTCTATTAACTTTTAGGGGAGATATGTTGAAGTCCCGCAATTATCACTGGGAATTTGTCTACTTCTCCTTTCAGTTATGTAGGCATTTGCTTCACATATTTTAAAGCTTTGTTGTATGGTGAATTTAAAATTGCTAAATATTCTGGGTGGATCACCCTTTTTATCACTATGCAATGTCCTTCTTCATCCCTGATAGTTTTCTTTGCTCCAACATTGACTTATTCTGAAACTGATACAGCCACTATAACCAATCTAGACAGTGTGAGAAAGGACTCCCACTACTACCACATGGAAGTGGAAGATGAGACTTTTTAGTTGGTCTCCATGGACACCACAGATGGGTGGCCTTCTTATCACAAGACGGTGATCAGAGAACCAGCTCCGTACTCAGCCGTCTCATTTAAAAATTCATTGTTGTATTTATTCATTTTATTTTAATTGACAGATAATAATTATATTTGATTATATAGCTATGGGATACAATGTGGTGTTTTGATATGTTTACATTGTGGGATCAACAAATCCAACTAGTTAACAAATCCATCACCTCACATATTTATTTTTTGTCCGTGATTAAAACATTTAAAATCTACCCTTTTTAGTAATTTTGCAATATATAATGCATTAATATTTATTATAATCGCTATGATGTGTAATATATCCATAAAGCTTATTCTTCCTATCTAATTGAAATTTTGATCAATCTCTCCTTTTCCCATCCACCATTCTTCCCCAGCCTCTGACAACCACTATTCTACTTTCTACTTCTGTGAGTTAAACTTTTTTAGATTCCACATGTAAGTGAGATCATGTGGTATTTGTTTGTCTGTGCTGGCTTGCACTTAGCATTATGTTCTCCAGGTTCACTCGCGTTTATAAAACTGACAGAATTTATTTTTTAAGGCCAAATATTATTTTATTGCATATATCTATCACATTTTATTTATCCATTCATTCCATGATGGACACTAGGTTGCTTTCATAACTTAGCTGTTAAGAATAATGCTGCAAATAACGTGAGAGTGCCGACATCTCTTTAGTATACTGATTTCAATCCTTTTGGATGTATGTCCAGAGGTGGGATTACCGAATCACATGGTAATTCTATTTTTAGTTTTTTGGGGGGAATTCCAACCTGTACTAATTTATATTCATAATGACTGTACTAATTTATATTCCCACCAACAGTGCACAAAGTTCCCTTTTCTCCACACCTTCACCAACACTAGGTATCTTTTGTCTTTTAGATAATAGCCATATCACTCAGGTAAGGTAGTGGCACCAAGTTACAGCCTGATGAGGGAGGAAGTGTTGGTTCCCCTTAGGTCTTTGCTGGCAAGGGAGAGGTGGAGCCACATTTTCTCTGGTAGATGACTGGAGAAAGGCAATTACATTTTGAAAGTATTTTGTCTTGTTAGGCTGCTCTTTCATTGGTCTTTGGCTGCAGAGATCAGGCTTTTATTGTAGCGTTCTGTTTATATCATTTGTGTTTCTGGGTTCCTGGCTTATCCAGTACTAAATCTGGGATATATGAAGTGAAGGGAAAAATAAAGCAAAAACAAAAACAAATAAAAAGCAAACAACAGAAACAAAGCAAAACAAAACAAAAAACAAAACGGGAAACAGTCTGTATTGTTCCTTGGGTCATGATGTACTTAGATGGTCTGCCTTCTCCCAACTCTCCGGGGTCTTCTTATCTATGTTTTATATAATATGCTCAGGAAGTTTAGATTTAAGTAGCAGAAGAAATAGAGAAAATACTTCTACTTTATCTTTCTGGAAGCAGAAGTCCTGGGAGAACTTTAAATCATACTTAAAGATTCACACCAGACAACTTTATCAGACTCTCTGGATATGGTCTTGTCTATTTTTTAAAGTCTCAGGTATATGCTTAATTAATTAAAGAGTTACTTTGCAGTTTTCATTACGTTCACCCTCAAGGCCTAAGTGTCTCAGACTGAAGATCCAATTCGTACCTCATATATTTTAGCAGCCAAGATCCTGATTCTGATGCACCATTTGAGTTGAGAATTTCTATACAAAAAACACACTTTTCTAGTGGCTCCCTGTGGTTGAAAATCTTCATTTGTGAAAAACTTGTGTATGGTTCCTCAGTTTTGCTGTCTGTTTTCAAAAAGATACTACATTTTCATAATCCCTCCTCTTACCTTGTAAAATTAGTTGCTTTGCTGCCGAGACCAGCTCAGTCGTGGAGACCCTAACCCAGTGGTGCGAGAGGAATTAAAGACACACACAGAAATATAGGGTGTGGAGTGGGAAATCAGGGATCTCACAGCCTTCAGAGCTGAAAGCCCCGAACAGAGATTGACCCACATATTTATTGGCAGCAAGCCAGTGATAAGCATTGTTTCTATATATTATAGATTTACTAGAAGTATTCCTCACAGGAAACAAAGGGATGGGCGGAAACAAAGGGATGAGCTCTGGCTAGCTATCTGCAGCAGCAACGTGTGCTTAAGGCACAGGTGGCTCATGCTATTGTTTGTAGCTTAGGAATGCCTTTAAGTGGTTTTCTGCCCAGGGTGGGCCAGGTGTTCCTTGCCCTCTTTCCATTAAACACACAACCTTCAGCGTGGGCGTCATGGCCATCACGAACATGTCACAGTGCTGCAGAGATTTTGTTTATGGCCAGTTTTGGGGGCCTATCCCCAGCACTTTGCAACTTAGTAGTATATGAATTACTCACTGTGTGTGTGTGTGTGTGTGTGTTTGTGTGTGTGTGTGTGAGAGAGAGAGGTAAAGTGAAAGAGGTAGAGAAAGAGATAAAGACAGAGACAGAGAGACAGAATAAAGATTTAATTGTATATAGTATTAGGGAAACCTATCAATGTACATATTGGTTTACACACTGTTAGAAACTCACTTTCACATAAAAAAAATTGACTTGTTCATGTAAAAGAAATACAATTACAAACTTTATGAGCTTCACCTTTCACTTATAAGATATTACTATACGCACGACACTATTATCTGCATCATTAATGTATGTCAGATTAGTTTTTTCTCAAATTCTGTTATTGCAGCAATAAATTTCATTTATATATTCTCTATTACCCATGTATTATAGTAATCTACTTTCAATTTTTAAATTAATAAGGAGGAATTTTTTGCAGCATTGCATTTATGGGGTACAATTACAAACTGCTTTTATTTTTAACATATAAGATAACAGCCATACGTTAAATATAAAACATTAATAATTATTTGTAAATATGTTTTTATGTACATGTATGTTTATCAAAATGTTGAAAATAAAAATTAGTAATATCTAAAAATTGGAAGACATTTTTCTCATTGCTGCAATAGAATATCAATTTTTGAAAGAAAGCCACTTATGTCTCTTCTTGTGAGTATTCTAAAAGTAAAAATTAATCATAAAAATAAAAATAAAAACTAACTTATCAGGTTAACGAAACATAAGGATGGTTCAAGATTTGCTAAGCAAATGTTAACCAAAAAAAAGAAGTATTAATGCCAAATTCATCTACTAGAAAAATGCATAAAAGTAGTCAAAATATATTTGGAAATAATAATAATGAAAAAAATAATTAAATTGTTTTTAGCATTGTGTGGTAGGCTAAAAAATACCCCCCAAAGATAATTTTGTACATGAAAGGAAGGGAATATTAAATTATTGGAGAAAACAATGGTATGTAATTCAGTGTATTATGTAGGAATAACTGACAAATATTTTGAGGAAATGGTACAGCCTTAATTACACAGTATACAAAATAGACTCTGGACAAAAAGATCAAAACAAAAATAATGTTATAAAAGATCTAAAAGTAAATATTGGCAAAAATATTAACAGTCTTGTAAAGATTTTTTTAAGAATAAGTGAATATATAATCATGGTCTTAGAGAAAAAAAAAAGGCACTGCAATATAGCAACATATATTTGATTCAGCTTTGCCTGCAAGAAATGTGTTTGCTTCCAAAAGAGGAAGGAGACTAGCTATAAAAACTGAAAAAAGTATGGACCAAAATTTTATATAAGGTTTTCACCCAACAGAGATTATTACTTGAGAAGAAGAGGATATAGCACTGCCAGGAGACATGAAGCAAAAGCAAATGAGTGACGACAAAGAAGGATAGAAATGTAGGAATCTAGATGTGGCAAATATTCTTTTCTGTTTTTCCTCTGTAGTATCTTTGTTTGCATGTTTAGTTTTACCTTTCTTCTGTAGTATTTCTGTTTGTATGTTTAGTCTTAATTGTTTGATATTTTCCTCTTTTATAACTGTTTTTCCAAAGCAAAATAGCTAGTTTGGCTAATTCATGGCCCGTTGAGAATAGATAAGAGCTGACATACACCACTTTTTACTACCACATTTGTTTATTGTGTGAGCACATGACACTATGTCTTGTTGTTTCATGGTAAAATAACAGTAGTTTTATTTCTAAAATAAAGGTTCAGAGGAGAAAGGAATTTTGCCCTCTTTCTGTCCCCTGTGTTCCATAAGCAGCCTTTTATAAGTCCATGATAGTTGTTAAGCTACTGCTTCTCAGCTTCAAATACATCCTTGTATATCCAGCTTTAAGATACTGAGAATGAACTCATTCTTTTTCATGGCTGCATAGTATTCCATGGTGTATATGTGCCACATTTTCTTTATCCGATCTATTATTGATGGGCATTTGGGTTGGTTCCAAGTCTTTGCTATTATAAGTAGTGCTGCAATAAACATACATGTGCATGTGTCTTTATAGTAGAATGACTTAATCCTTTGGGTAAATACCCAGTAATGGGGTTGCTGGGTCAAATGGTATTTCTGGTTGTAGATCCTTAAGGCATTGCCACACAGTCTTCCACAATGGTTGAACTAATTTACACTCCCACCAACACATGGACCCAGGGAGAGGAACATCACACACTGGGGCCTGTTGGGGGTAGAGAGCAAGGGGAGGAAGAACATTAGGACAAATACTTAATACATGCGGGGTTTAAAACGTAGGTGATGGGTTGATAGGTGCAGCAAACCACCATGGCACATGTATACCTATGTAACAAACCTGCACGTTCTGCACATGTATCCCAGAACTTAATGTAAAATTAACAAAAAATAAAAATAAAAAAAGATACTGAGCATGGACCCTGTAAACCACATTTGTTATTTGACAACTGACTTCTTCCTGGTCATTAGGAGGCAGGAGATGGAGAATGCAAGACTGGTGGAGCCAGCAGGAACTTCCTCTTTCCTCTTGGTTTTCTATTTGCTTCCATTTCCTGTCAGCTGTGCTGTAGCTCCCCTTCTTCATCTCATGAGCAAGGATTTGTTCCGGTAGCAGCAAGGGCATCCTGTTTGCAGTTTTTCCCAACTCCTGCCAAACAACCCTCATTTTGCCCCTTCGGAGACAACAGCACCAGAGAATTGTTGCCTGCTCCACAAAGATCTGGCTGCAGACCCACAGGGCCTCTCCTCCACGCCTTGAGTTTATTATCATAATTTCAAATTTCTCTTTAATCACCCAGTTCTAAGAGTGGTAGCTGTTAGGAGTATCTCTATACTCTCATGTTCCCTTTTTGGCCTTGACAATTGCGTACTTAGTTAACACTTATTTGTATCGAATTCTGTCTGTTAAAGTAAATGACATGATTTCTAGCCCCTGACTGGGTTCTCACTGAAAAAACGTTTTTCACATTTTTCCCTTCAGTGACTCTTTGTGGGCTATAATCACACAGGCAGAATCCATTTTCTTTTGTTGTTTATTCATACATCTATGCTACATGTGCAGTGTGTAGCACTCTGATTGAAGGTGGTGTCCTAAGTGTTAGGATAAAGCAATGACCATTATAACCCTTTCCCTCATAGCCCAGGGTATAATAAGGAGATAAGCAAGTAAACCAGAAATTAAAACAGTGTCTTATTTGGTTATAGGTAAGGTGTAGGGTGTTATAAGAACAAATCTAGTTGTTAGGGTTCAGAGAAAGCCTTGTCCAAAAAAGTGTGAACATAAGTAGCTAGAAGAGATACAAAAAAATAACTGCATGCGTAATAATATACCTGGAGCTCAAAAACTGTTAGTGTACAGGAAGAATCTGAAGAGAAAGAAATAATTTATTTTCCTTCAACATTTAAACCAGCAATTTCTCTTCAATAATGGTTCTAAAATTGCAAAAGCATGTACATCTGACTCTGTGCCAAAACTACAACTTGACAAGACCAAAAGCTACAGCATCTTCAGTCTTCTGAAACCTAATTTTACAATTCATTCCTGAAGCTCGTGTGTGTGTGTGTGTATGTGTGTGTATATATATATTATATAAAATATTATATATTGTATATTATATATATTATAATATAATAATATAATATATATAATATAATATTATATAATATAAATATAATAATATATAATATATATAATATATAATAGTTATATATGACTATTATATAGTTATATATATTATATAGTTACATAACTCTATATATAATTATATAGTTATATATATTATATATAATATAATAATTATATATAGTTATATATATTATATATAATATAATAATTATATATAATTATATAGTATTATATATAACATATGGTATAATATACTTTATATATAGTAATATTATTACTATATATAGTATATTATAATACTATAATATATAATATATATACTATATTATATATACTATAATATACATACTATATATACTATAATATATATAGTATATTATATACACTATAATATATATACTATTATATATACTATAATATATATACTATTATATATACTATAATATATAGTATATTATATATACTATATAATAATATATATGTAATATATATATTATATTTAATATATATTATATATTATATATATAATATTATATATAAAATATATAATATAATATTATATATATACACACACATACTTCCTGTGTTTGTTGAGGGATATGCATATACCTTCAAAGCAACACGTTACAACATTGCCTTTTCAGAAATTCAGGTGCCACATCAGGAGTGAGTGAACTACTTCAATTATTTCCCGGTGAAGTTCCCATATGCTCTAATGCTGACAATCATACTGGGCCAGGTACTTCCATGATTTACATTATTTAATCTTTACAGCAGCCCTCAGTGTTTCATAATATTATTCCTACTTTCGAGCTAATAAAACTGAGGTTCAGAAAACTGACGACAAGTACCCAAAGGATGAAGTTACAGAGTTCTTCAGCTACAAGGAACTTTCTCCTTTTTCCTTTTTTTCTTCCTTCCCTTCATCTTTTCCTCCTTTCCTCCTGCTTTTCTTCCTTTCTTATTTATTTTATTTGATGGATATTTTATGAGGCTTTTTTGTCAAAATTGCAGTATAATTTACATTTAGTAAAATTCACCCTTTCTACTACCTGCAGAATGTTTTATTTCTATTTTCTGAGTTTTGACAAGTGTATACAGTAATGTAACCACCACCACAATCTGAAGAGTTCAGTCAGTCACCCCTGTTAAAACTTCTCTCTTGCTCTTTTCACAGTCGGACCCTCACCACACACCCCTCTGTGGCAGCGTCTTTTGTCTTTCCTCAGTGGCTTATAGCTTCTGTCCCACGTGAGAGTGCAATCCCTGGGAAGCTATGCACTTTTGTGACCACTAGCTGCTCCCTCCTCTAGCCCACACCATAAGCAAAGCTGTCCTCCCTCTCCAGCCTTTTCCCCAGTCTTTCTCATGAGGTCCAAGGAGTCTGCTAATGGGTGCAAAATGTCCTGTGTCTGCATCTCCCAGGAGTTCTATACTATCACAGTATCTCACACTCTCCCTTTAGCAATTCTTCAAAAATTTAGCTGAATTATTCATTTTAGCTTATACGGTGACCATGTCTTCCTCTGGGGCTCTGTTTCAGGTTAGCTAGAGCTCACTTTCTGTCTCTATTTGAAGTTGCCTGGCTTAGATTTCAAACAAGTTGGATGCCCTGTGACCTCAGCCCTCTGTTGGGTTCGATAAATTATGGCTTTGTAAATAATACCGCTTTCTCTTGTTGGTAGGGATAGATTGCTAGGACAAGAGTCTCTTTCTGATTTTCTTCATCTTAAGCAAAATGTGGAAGTGTCTTTCATTTTTAATATTGAAAACTAAGGTAGACACTTAGGTATGACATACATTTGAGAGCAAGTAAAAACTTTGTCAACTATATAGCCATTTTTTATGGTCTGTGAGTACCAATATAATGTTAACAATTAGTGAATTTTGCTCAGTCTTATAAAAGTATGAAAATTTTGAGATGTAGCAGTACTGAAGGACAGTTGTATATCTCAATTTCTTGTTCATTTTATTTCTAAAGAAGATCATCTCTTTTGGTTTCTGTTGCTTATTACAGAATCCATGGTGTGCAATGTAGAACATCAAGTTTACCCTAAATTGGAATAATTTTATTACCTATTCATTTGTAATACGTTGATATGAAATACATTACATTATTGCAAATAATTATTGTATTATAAATTATATTTATATTATTATAAATAATACATTGCATTCTTATAAATAATTGCATTAGCTATTCACTTGGAATACATTGATATGGATGTATTTTCATTGTCATGACCTAAAACATGCATATTGTACAGAATAAGCAGCTATGCTTTTTGATGTAGAAAATTATTATGTTTTAGGTTTGTCTTTGCATGATGTATGATTTGGCAAATCTGCTCAATAGTTCCTTTTGGAATAAACAAAATACACTCTAATGATAGTCCCCCAGAATCTCAAGTTTTGAATGACCCTTGAGAGTTCAACCCCCACCAAACATTTCCCTTGGCAGATATGGTGATTAGGTAAATAGTTATTGAAGATGTTAATTGCTAATACTGTAACATCATGGTACATTCAAATCATAATGCCAAACTTTATAATTTATGGCTGAATATTCTTCAATATTTAAAGCATCTAAAGGATGGACATCATACTGTTTTAATGACGATGTTGCAGAAAGCAGAAGAAAAGTTGCTATAGCAAGATTAAACATTTGGATAATGTTATGGCAGTTCTCATGTATTACAACTATATGCCAATCATCGTATAGTTGTAATACATTTGGATAATGTTATGCCAGTAATCATGTATGACATATGGTAGTACTGACATAACATTATCCAAATGTTTAATCTCGCTATAACAACTTTTTTTCTGCTTTCTGTAACATCATCAATAAAACAGTGTGATACATATGATACATGATATATATGTAATACATATAACATACAATAAATATGTGATATATATATATATATATATGTCTCACATAACTTTTATTTTTTTTCTTATTTCTTCATCTATCTGGCCATAGTAGACTAGCTATGATTGGTTGATGCATAATAACACACAGTATATAATTGCACATGATTATATGAAGCATCAGACAGTGGGGTTTTCAAATTAACTTCCAATTACTGGGTCTACTATTTTCATTTTCTCAGTATTCTTTCTCCTATGTCCTCTCTCTAGTTATTTATTTTTTAAAAACCACTTTTCTCCTGCTATCAGAGTGAAAGGAGTATTCACCAGTAGTAATTTTGTGTTGCAAGCGGTTGCATAATGCCAAAGCAACTTTAGAGTTGAAATTTAACTAGATAACAAAAAAAAATGGTTAGAAATTATTTTAACACTGGTTGTATTATATCTCTAACTTGGGTCATGTATCTAGTTCTTGTGTTTTTCTTTAAATTATTTTCATGAATAGTTATTAACTTTGACAAAATTATAACATTAGTAAAACTTGTATTTCTTCTAGTGTAAATAAATTCTTAGAAATATAAGAGAAAATAAAAGAAATGAAGTGAGGGTGGGAGGGAGAGAAAAGGAAAGAGACGAGATAAAATCTTTCTGGCTTGAATATAAAGCTTATAGGGGTAAATTTAAAAAGAAATGAAAAACTAAATGCAGTCTTCTAGATTTTGCAGACATTGGCTAAAAATCGGTCTTAAAATTCGTAGTAGAATCTATTGAGCTAGTATTGCTAGTAATGTTGATGAGCTCTGATTCTACAGTCAGGTAGGCCTGGCTTGAATTTGAGCTCTTCTGTTTTCCTGGATGTTATTTAACTGCCCGTAGTCTTATCTGGACACTGAAGAAAGTTCTGGACACCACTGACATTCAATAAAAGTGTAAACAATTTTAGATTAATGAATATTTCCTTCCAAAAAGTTTTAGAAAAATATATCATATTCTCTAGATAATACTTGTATCAAGGCTGGACTTTTATTGTATTTTAAATATCATAAGTATTATAAGCATGCTTGATATTTACTATACATATTATTGTAGCAAAGTGTGGGAAAATATGGATACCTAAATAATAAAATATATAGCAGTTTCAATTATTATGAGGACTAACCTGTTTTGAATATTTTTAATTTAAATTTTGCTTGGCTCTTCTGCAAAGGCAGAAGTATATGATGAAGAAATTTACATCAGATTTAACAGTAAAATTATATTCAAAGTACAGCATTCAATCTCTGAGAAGCATTGGAAGATCATATGAGCATGTTGATACTATGAGTGAAAGCAAAGAAATTCTGGGACCACAAAACAAAAGGAACCGATGGTGTATTAAGAAACCTGTACTACATCCAACAAGATCACAAAACAGTCAGGTCATAGCCATGTCTACCATACTAAATCCTGCTGCATTTAACAATCAGGAAATGTATTTTATATAGACAAAAAATGGATAATATCAAATTCTCCTACCTTGCGTGATGCTCAGATCAAACTCGATATTCATCTGGTGAGATCTTAAGAGAGTTTTGCTTACTGTGAATTTCAAAACAGTTGGCAAAAATTCTGTTGAAATTTTCACAAGGAATTACAGCAACAAGACATTTACATTGTTATGAAAGAAAACAGGACTTAGATTCAGCTAGCCTGGGTTTCATCCCTAAATCTGCCATTTACTGTGTTTTTTTGTTTTGAACGTGAATCTTCCCTTCTCAAAGATTTTGTTGATTGAGTTAGAGTTCAGAGAAAGCACTCGTAAAGTTTTTGTACTTCTTGTATGATGTGTTCACAGAAATAGTGATCCTTTTGGATTGCGGTTCACAGAAATAGTGTATCCTTTGGATTGTGGTTCTCATTATCTAATTCTTCATGTCAGTGACAATATCTTGATTAAACCAAATGCTTTATAAGATTCAGTGCATGTTATAAGAAAGAGTATGCTACCAATTTTTTTCTTTTAGCAGAATAATGGAAAATACAGTTATTTGTTTCGTCTTTTTTTCTTTTTTTTTTTTTTGAGATGGAGTCTTGCACTGTCACCTGGGCTGGACTGCAGTGGCACGATCTCAGTTCACTGCAACCTCCTGCTCCTGGGTTCAAGCAATTCTTCTGCCTCAGCCTCCCAAGTAGCTGGGATTACAGGGGCCCGCCACCATGCCCAGCTAATTTTTTGTATTTTTCTAGTAGAGACTGGGTTTCACTATGGTGACCAAGCTGGTCTCAAACTTCTGACCAGCCTGGTCACCCAAAGTGACCGCCTGCCTCAGCCTCCCAAAGTGCTGGGATTACAGGCATGAGCCGCTGCGCCCTTCCTTAGTTTCCCATTTCTATTGATCAACTTTTCCAATTATGATAGAGAATGGTAGAAGGTATTATGATTATATTACTAGTCACTGTAAGTTTAAACTGTCTAAAATCTTACCATTAAAATTAAAATGAAGGCCTGGTGCAGTGGCTCACGCCTATAATCCCAGCACTTTGGGAGGCCGAGGCTGGCGGATCACGTGAAGTCAGGAGTTTAAGACCAGCCTGGGCAACAGGGTGAAACCCAGTCTCTGCTAAAAATAAAAATTAGCTGGGCATGGTGGTGGGTGCCTTTAATCCCAGCTACTCAGGAGGCTGAGGCAGAATTGCTGGAACCTGGGAGGCAGAGTTTGCAGTGAGCCAAGATCACACCAGTGCACTCCAGCTTGGGCAACAGAGCGAGACTCCATCTCAAAAAGAACTCCAAAAACCAAAAAGTAGAATGATTATGCACAAAGTTCACTTCAAAAATTATTTTTTAGATGAACTAATGAGTACTATACTAGAGTCACTTATGATACCTAAATGCTTAAAATTGTACTACTCATAATACTAATTACTAATTGCCTGAAATTCTTAAAATCAAAAATTTCCCATTTCCTTTTATTAATCAATGATAATAATATTTCTTATTATTTTTGTCCCTACATTATGTCCATTTAACATATTGGTATACTGTAATAATACAAGAAAGTAATTCAAGTTTAATTTTTATAAAGAAGTTAAACACTATTTTTATAAAGAAGTTAAACACAAGCAGTTAAGCATTGCTTCATAGTCATAAATCATCTTTATTTACAGAAGTGCTAATTGTCTTATAAATAATATTCTAACTTTTAACATAAAGTAGGAGAATAGCTGTTCCCATATGTTAAATTTACAACTTTCACTGATACTACAAAAAAAACATAAAATTCAGCCAGTGCTTAATAATACTATTTGATTTTATTCAGTAAAATATGTATATTAAAAAAATCTATGATATTAAACATTGAATCCTTAATTCTCAATGATTTTTCTTTTAATAAGTATTTAGGGGATTTTTTGAAGGATTCACATGGAAAAAAATCAGTCCAGTTACTTTCTCTACTATGTTTAATAAGAAAAATTGTAATAGAAAGAAGATGCTTTATGATTGTGGAGACAGCTGGGTTCAAGTCCCAGTTATTAGTTGTACTATTTTGGAGAAGTAATTATTATAAGATTATTTGAAACTGATATGAGATAATGAATTTAAAGTTGTCTCACCACCTGGATAATACACAATGCATGTTCGTTGAAGCTCCTGTTTGTTTGGAAAAATTTAAATTTGAGTCCTGAATTTCTCCTCTTAAGAAATTCTGTTACTATCCCCTCTTATGATGTGAAATATATTTTATAATATAATATTTTATTCAGCACAATGTTCAATAAAATGTGTCTTAAGTCAGATTGCCTGGACTTGAACCCTTACTCTACTACTTGCGAGATGTAAGAACTTACTTAAGTTTGTACATTTTCAGTGTTTAGTTTCCTCATGCACAACATGGGGAACATATTTGCGCAAAGGGAAAGGTATGATTTGAAGCTTCAATATAAATAACATGGTACCTGGTACATAGTAAGCACTAAAGAATTAACTGTCATTACTATTTGAGAATTGGTGCACATTTTTCACACAGGGGTGCTACTTTCCATTTTATGTATTTGTGATCTTTAAAGATATTAAGAACACCAAAGTTATTTAATTTTGCTAGTGCAAAAATCTATTTAATCAATTACCCATCTAATTACCCAGATAGCATCTTATCCTTAAAGAATAAAATGTATAATTGCCAAAGCATTTTATAAGTATTTGATAATTTTAAAAGTATAGAGATAAATAAGTCTAATTAAGAGTGGGTTTAATCTGTAAGAATGGTAAATAAAAGTTAAATAATTTATTAGTCTATCTGATAAAAAGTATTTCACATATTTAAATAGTGTAATATTTGAGATTAGATGTTATACACATACACATACAAAGAGTCAGATAATTCACATAATTCTGTTAATCTAGGGCTATATCACCTACATTTCTAAATCTATGTTTACCCAGCTAAAAAATTTTCTTACTTGAAGCACCATTAGTGAACACTTTAAAATTGCAATTACTAAATAGAGTGAACTTTTGTAAGTGTTTAGAACTAATACATTTTTCCTAGTGTCACTTTTAATATTTATAGGCAGTCTACCATGAAAATTTCTAGATAATAATATGAAACCGTCCGATACAGAAACAGATATAAAAATGTTCCATTCAAATTTGTCATTGATCTGACCTGAGCTGGCAATGTAATTCAGGTAGTTATTAAGATTATTTTACTCATCCATGAGTAAAAAGATAAAAGTTATCTTTCAGTAACTTTAGGTAATATCGGGGAACCAGCCCCCAGTGTTTCAATGTAGGTTCTTCCTATTTTCCCTAAGTGTCGGCCAGTCTGAGAAATAAAGTGTACAAAGAGAGGAATTTTACAGCTGGGCCTCCGGGGGTAACATCACATATCAGTAGGTCTGTGATTTTCCCTGAGCCGCAAAACCAGCAAGTTTTTATTAGGGATTTTAAAAGGGGAGAGGGTATATGTACAGGGAAGATGTCACAAAGATCACATGCTTTAAAGGGCAATAAAGATCACAAGGCAAGGGCAAAATCAGAATTACTGATGAGGGTCTATGTCCTGTTGTGCACGTATTGTCTTGATAAACATCTTAATAGAAAGCAGGGTTTGAGAGCAGAGAACCGGTCTGACCAAAATTTACCAGGCTGGAATTTCCCAATCCTAGTCAGCCTGAGGGTACTGCAGGAGGCCAGGGTGTATTTCAGTCCTTATCTCAACCACCATCAGACAGACAGTCCCAGAGCAGCCGTTTATAGACCTCCCCCAAGGAATGCATTCCTTCCCCAGGGTATTCCTTGTTGGGAAAATAATTCAGCAATATCTCTCCTACTTCCACGTCTATAGGCTCTCTGCAAGAAGAAAAATATGGCTCTATTCTGCCTAACCTCGCAGGCAGTCAGACCTTATGGTTGTCTTCCCCTGTTCCCTGAAAATCACTGTTATTCTGTTCTTTTTCAAGGTGCACTGATTTCATATTGTTCAAACACACGTTTTACAATCAATTTGTACAATAGTCGTCCTGAGGCGATGTACATTCTCAGCTTATGAAGATAATGGGATTAAAAGATTAAAGTAAAGACAGGCATAAGAAATTATAAAAGTATTATTAGGGAAGTGATAAATGTCCATGAAATTTTTGCAGTTTATGTTCAGAGATTGCAGTAAAGACAGGCATAAGAAATTATAAACGTATTAATTTTGGGAACTGATAAATGTCCATGAAATCTTCACAATGTAGGTTCCTCTGCCATGGTTCCAGCCAGTCCCTCCATTCTGGGTCCCTGACTTCCTACAACAATTAATATTCCAGATGTTAGAGATACATTCTCATTTTGTTTCATTCTTTCACATCTGCTCATCTTCTGTGTCTTTTGAAGACTTTGAAGACTGATCCATGTGAGTTAGGGGCAAAAAAATTACATTCAGAAAAGTATAACCACATGCACTCCAAATCAGTGAGATACTATGGAGATGTCAGCAAGCTGTCTTGAATTAGAATAATTTTATATAAACATTCAGAAAACATTTAATAGTCTTCTAATATAAGTCAACAGCTTTGAAATAATCTATATAACCTAATATCAATAAGTTGAAAATGATTTTACCATTCAATAGGGCATTTTTTAATGAACACTGATGACTGTGCTTTAGTAGCTACCATACCTTCAGGAACTATTTGTATATGGAGGTAGATTAAAATCTAGTTACACATATTAATGTTCACTTAAGGTTGGCTCATCTAAATATCTTTTTCAGCTGAGAGAATAAAAATGTTTTTAAAATCTAGAAACAACTTAAAATGATTAGAATACAGGATTTATTTTAATTGCCCATATATAATTTTATTATTAAAATTATATATATCTAGTATGACATATACAACATTTTTTTGCACTAAATCAACCAAGAAATATATATAATAACTGAACTAGATGACTAAGTGTGTTGGCAATATTTGTGAATGGTTTTAAAATATTTAAAATTTGGATCTAAAATTTACCCTTAAAACGTAAAGGCATACTTTAAAAGTGATAGTATATAGTCTGTTATTGTAACACCATTTCTGTAATTTCTGAAAAATTGAGAATAGCCAAACTACAAATAAGAATTTGGTTTAGTGTAAGGTAATTCATCTGTATGTGTAACATCGCACATTGTGCAATGACATATTAAAATATTATTTTGCGATATAAATAATTTAAACATATTCTATCATATCAAAAATAGGTTGTGAAATATAGAAACTGAGCCCCATGAGAGCAGGTGACTAGTGAATGTGCGCCGTTCACTATTGTACACCTTATTTCAAACACTTGGTGTAGGTGTCAGTCAACATTTCTTAAAGAATGGATGAATAAGACTAAAACTAAATATGTAGTTGTAAAAGAATCTGTGAAGCACTTTGTAAGGGATGTAAATATAATCTGCATTCTAAAATTAAGCAAAGTCATGCACCATTTGGATTTGCAAGTGTTTTGTATTGATTGTCACGATTAGTGGTAAAATAGTCTTAGGAAGACAATAAAGTAAGGGAAGACTTCCATTTTGCTAGTGTATAATTTTTCTTTCCTGTGAGATAGTTTTTTACAAACAAATTGGTTGCTCATACATAGAACTAGAGCATATACTTCCTAGCAATGAAAAAAATTCTGGGTGTCAGTGAGCTGACTCAATGTTAACAAATGATTACCTCATCACAGAAACATAGACAATACATACCTAAACTATTTATTTTTAGGTGTTGCCTTTTCTATTTTAGCATAGTATCATAATACCTGGAATGGATGTGCTTGGTAAAGGGTTAGAATACTCATTTCTTTGTTGAAGAAAATGGAAGAATAACTCTTTTTTATTCAAGAGAAAAATTAAAAAATAATGTTTCTTAGGCATTAATGACTTTGAATAACTTCATTATTCAACATTTTAATTTATTCCTAACAATAGTTTTTGGCATAAATGTTTATTGCATTTTCTGCAATGCTGGAATTTCAGAGAGCCCAATAAATAAACCCCTTTTTTTGCTACTGACTTCTGAGCCAGTTGAAAATGAGAAATCAGTCCATTGGATGGAAAAACCTTAGGTTTGTTACTGACTTTAAAACAACAACACCACACTGACCTTACAATAATAAACTGAGGTGCCAGTGCATGGGATAATTAGATATGGGGGAACAACACTCTTGTCCAGGATTAGGCAGGCTTACCCTTCATAAGGGGTCCTGATAGAAAACTGCAGACCTTGCTCTAAAGCAGACCTTCACTGAACTTGAAGCAAGGTCAAGAGCAGAGCGCAAAAATCCCAAAGGCACGGGTGAAGGGAAGGGGCAGAACTGCACAATCACCAGCCAGACACTTCACTCCTCTTCCTTTTAGCAGGAATAATGAGAATGTAGACAGAAGTCAAGTGAGTTACAATCTCTCACAAAACAGGGAGAACACATTGTTTTCCTTACTGTGTATCTCAATAGTTTCCCATATTAAGAGAACACAATTACTAGTGATGGACCAATTTTTATTATTTTCATGCTATTATGCTATTATTAAATTAATCTTGCTTTGACTTTTTTTTGATAAAGTTTCAGAGAGACAATAGAGCTAATATAATTGTGAAGAAAAGGTGGGGTTAGATACACCTCAGTTTTATAAGTAGTGGTTTCTTATTTTTTTTAAGAAGGCACTTGTAGTAAACATATTATATATAAAACATATGGAAAGGTACTATCGTGTTTATTTACACCAAAAGACATTAAAGTGCCTAAAGGTGATATTAATCTCCAAAGTAAATTTTCTGCCCCAGTAAATTTAATTATACCACTGTTCTGGGTCACAGCATATGATTTTAGTTTTATTCTTCTTGTTTTAAATGTTATTCTACTAATAGCACTTCTAGCTTCAGTTGGTACCTTGTTTATCCCCTGACTACAGACTGAGAGGGAAGTGGAGGGGAGAAGACGTAAATAGAAAATCTTCCTAAGGTCTGGGCATTGCTTTTTTGTTGTTAAATGAACATATGTCTGTGGCACAACTACACAACACATTACTCGTTTGACTGCTAATTACAGTTCTTGCTCAGATGTTCTTCAGAAACCAAACATGAAATAAATAAAATTTAGCTTCTCTTTTCCTGCTAGTACTATCTTCTTTTATGTTAATGCATAGTCTACTATGGAAAGACATTTTCAGACAATATATTAATCTCTAATTTGTCATTTAGCAAGCACTTACTGAGTTCTTTCTATATTCCAAGCTTTTTGTTACAACAAACACATAAATGTAAGCTCATAGAGTGTATAGTTTATTCTACTTGGTTGGTAGTTATTTGTTCTGTCATATAAAAATATCGTGAAAGTGCTGATACAAAGGCAAGTGCATTCCATTTGTTCACACAGACATTTCGTTTTTACACACATGGACACACAGACGCATACACACACAGATGCAGTAAATGTAAGCTCATAGAGTGTATAGTTTATTCTACTTGATTGGTAGTTATTTGTTCTGTCATATAAAAATATTGTGAACGTGCTGATACAAAGGCAAGTGCATTCCATCTGTTCACACAAACATTTCGTTTTTACACACATGGACACACAGATGAATACACACACAGATGCATATACACGCAAGTGTGCCCTGTATAGACTGTTGATGCTCTAGTCAATCTCTAAATATGTAGAATATGACTTTAAAGCAAATGTTTAAAAAATTCTATTACTAGAAATGGAAATTATAGATGCTATTTAGATGCATCTATTCTTTTTTAAAAGAATAAATAATTTACTCTTTAAAAAAGCATTTGATTAGCATCATACGATGTGACCTCTTCCAACTAGTCCATATAATACCAACTAAATGACAATAAAAATAAAACAAGATATTACTGTTAAAAAGTGAGTTTAAAGGCAATTTATTATGAAAATCTCAGGTTTTCGGTACCTATAAAACTGTTGTTTATGAGCTTAGCAACGCATATCTAAGGTATGCTCCTGGCGCATTATGCTGTTCATTACCAACAGCTTTTCCTGAAAAAAATGGCTGAAGTATTGTCATATCTTCTTCTCCCTAAACTCTAGAAAATATGCCAGCTCTCTTTGCAGAAAAATAAAACAATGATTCCTCTTGGAGTGTCCACATTAATTTTTTATTACTGTATAGTCTTCCTTTGTTTGGAGATAGAATCAAATAAGATAATTGAGAAGAAGCAGCAAAACTCCTGGGGCTTCCTTCATCTCATGCCCAATACAAACTCCTTCTTTTTAAGTATCCTTGGAACTATTGCTTAGAATTTCCGCCTCAACTACTGATAGTGTGTGTGTGCGTGTGTGTGTGTGTGTGTGTGTGTGATGTAGGACATAGTTATTAGTGTAAATGTTTCTGTTCTGAGTTTATGTTTTGATGGCTTAACATTGTTACAAATCAAGGAGTGATATCTTACCATTAAGGAATCCACTGTACCTAAAAAACAAAATCAAAGCTGGCTGCTTTCTCTTTTCCAGCCCAGGGTGAATTACAAAAGGCTATATCCTACTCTCATCTTTGCTTATTGGTCTCAGAGACTAAGATCAGCTGGGCGAATCAAGTCAGTTTAATTTCCAAGACATCAATGTAAGGTAATAGAGAAGCATTCTTCTTCCACATAACCATCCACATTTATATTCTTTCTATAAAAGACTCCTGCCTTTGCTCCTTATACTGATAAATAAAACTGTTTAATTTTGTACTCAGATTGTGACTACTGTCTTTGTATGTAGTCCACTCTTACAGAAACTATTGATGGCATGATTTAATAGTACCATTCATGTCTTTAAATGTTACCAGATTAAAAAAAGGAGAGTGGCAATTGAAAGGGTGGTTTTCACTTCAATTTGTGAGAGCAGAGTCAGAAAGAGGATTGGAGCAGGAAATCTTGGGAATTACAGGTTCTAATTAGTCCCATTATTTACAATGTCAGTTAGAAATGAAGGCAGGAGGAGAAGCAGTTATGGGCTAGAAATCAGAATTGGTCTGGAAGCTGTAAACACTAACCTGGTCTTTAGCTGCTAATCTGAGGAAAAGACTTCAACAAACACTAAATAAGACTTTAACACATACACAATGAAAGGAACAAAAGGCAGTACACAGATCTGGATACCCAAATACTTCATTGGAAAATAACTATAAAACAAATAACAACATTATAGGAATTATGAAAATATTCAGTTCAAAGGAATAATGACCTTCATGCTAAGTGCTCAAAGGTAAAGACATTCCCAAAAATGAACTACTATGAGATTCATGTTAAACTTCTAGCAGAGTTGCACCACCTCAGGGAAAGAAAGTTATCAGGGTTGAATTGACTGACTTTTTTTTATTATTATACTTTAATTCTGGGGTACATGTGCAGAACATGCAGGTATGTTATATAGGTATACACCTGCCATGGTAGTTTGCTGCACCCATCAACCTGTCACCTACATTAGGTATTTCTCCTAATGCTATCCCTCCCTGCGCCCCCCAGCCCCCGACAGGGCCCAGTGTGTGATATTCCCCTCCCTGTGTCCATGTGTACTCATTGTTCAATTCCCACTTATGAATGAGAACATGTGGTGTTTGGTTTTCTGTTTTTGTGTTAGTTTGCTGAGAATGACGTTTTCCAGCTTCATCCATGTCCCTGCAAAGGACATGAACTCATCCTTTATTATGGCTGCATAGTATTCCATGGTGTATATGTGCCACATTTTCTTTATCCAGTCTATCATTGATGGACATTTGTGTTAGTTCCAAGTCTTTGCTATTGTGAATAGTTGTGCAGTAAACATACATGTGCATGTGTCTTTATAGTAGAATGATTTATAGTCCTTTGGGTATATACCCAGTAATGGGATTCCTGGGTCAAATGGTATTTCTAATTCTAGATCCTTGAGGAACCACCACACCATCTTCCACAATGGTTGAACTAATTGACACTCCCACCAGCAGCGTAAAAATTCCCATTTCTCCACATCCTCTCCAGCATTGTTGTTTCCTGACTTTTTAAAGATCTCCATTCTAACTGGCATGAGATGTATCTCATTGTGGTTTTGGTTTGGATTTCTCTAATGACCACTGATCATGAGCATTTTTTTCATATGTTTGTTGGCCGCATAAATGTCTTCTTTTGAGAAGTGTCTGTTCATATCCTTTGCCCACTTTTTGATGGGTTTGTTTGTTTTCTTCTTGTAAATTTGTTTAAGTTTTTGTAGATTCTGGATATTTGCCCTTCGTCAGATGGAGAGATTGCAAAAATTTTCTCCCATTCTGTAGGTTGCCTGTTCACTCTGATGGTAGTTTCTTTTGCTGTGCAGAAGCTCTTTAGTTTAATTAGATCCCATTTGTCAATTTTGACTTTTGTTGCCATTGTTTTTGGTGTTTCAGTCATGAAGTCTTTGCCCATTTTGCTGACATTTTTAAAGGAAGTCAACAAAATTAAATTAATATGCAAGTGGGTGAAGGAAGAAGGTGCTTTAGAGGGAATAAAGAACAACAGTCAGCCATGAAGAAAACAAAAATAGAGATACGAAGGATTAAAGTGAAAATGCATCAGAGTACAAATAAAAACAAAACAAAACAGAAACCGAAGAAACTAATATGTTAAAAAGCCTGTGCACAAAGATTAAAATGGCTCACTGTTTCTGTGGATTTTCTATTATGTTAAGACTTTGTCTTGTTTTTAATCTGAAGTCTTACTTTATTCTTTCTCTCAATAGAACCTGGGGTCTTGCTCATCAAGCCTACATCTGATTTTGAAGTGGCTATTACACACATATATATAAAATTTATACTAGCACTATCCTTGTATAAAGTTATAAATTTTATTGGCTAGTTTTATCTAACAAACTACAAATTGTTATGATATTTATATGCTAACCAATAGCAGGCATCATTGATGCTGGGACATCTCTGAGTCAGCTGAAGTTTCAGATCCAGTTATTGGACCATCAACATGTTGTGGACTCTGGATACAGCTCCTGAAAGATGTGTTTTGAAGACATCAAAAAGATTAAAACTCTAGGTTATTAGTCTTATCCATTTCTCTGGTAATGCTAACCTGACTTTTCCTGTTGGCCAATTCCCAACTTTATTCCAGAATAAATCAAGGTGAAGATTTGGAAGAGTTGTAGAGTGTAAACAGTTGCTTATTGCCATCAATTATGAAGTCTAACAGTTTGAAATTTATTCAAATAAGACTTTCTGGGAAGTTCTTGGAAGAAACAATGATGTTCTTTACATCTATTGTTTTCCTCGGCTAAAACTTCGTGATATAGAAAAGTAACATTAATATAGAAAATAAATTGTGTGATTGTAAACGATTTCTGTTCTTAATATATAAGCATACATGAGTCTGGGTATTTAGTGTTATTTTTATTATTGTTGTTGTGTTCCTGTTTTCATCCCAGACCAGTGTGAACTGAGTTATAAAAATATCATGACTTAATAAAACAAATGTATGTATATATCCAATTTGTCTTTCTTTTGCCTAATTTTAAAATGTAAATCAAACCAATGTAATTATAGCAAATTAAGTTATATTGAATTTGATATGCATGTGAAAACACGGTTAATTTAAGAAAACTTGGCCGGGCGCAGTGGCTCAGGCCTGTAATCCCAGCACTTTGGGAGGCCAAGGCGGGCAGATCACGAGGTGAGGAGATCAAGACCATCCTGGCTAACACGGTGAAACTCCTTCTCTACTAAAAATACAAAAAATTAGCCGGGCGTGGTGGCGGGTGCCTGTAGTCCCAACTACTCGGAAGGCTGAGACAGGAGAATGGTGTGAACTCGGGAGGCGGAGTTTTCAGTGAGCCGAGATCGCGCCACTGCACTCCAGCCTGGGTGACAGAGCGAGACTCTGTCTCAAAAAAAAAAAAAAAAAAAAGAAAAGTAAACTGTAAGGATCCTTTCCACAAAATGTCCAATTAAGGAAGTAATCTATGAAAAAGGAAATATTGAATTCATAAAGCAAATTTGGGAGGCTCTCATTTGTTAGAATTCAGTAAGCAAAAATCGAATTAGAAAACAAAACTTATCACTTTAAATTTATTCCTTTACATCACATCAACCCATTATTATCTACATTTTAACCTGATTTTTAAAAAAATTTTCCTTATAGAATTTATCACTATCTTATAAAGCTACTTCTCAATTCATTTTGTCTGTCTCTCTTTTCCCACTAATTTGTAAGCTGCCTTAAATCAGAAACTTTGTCACCTCAGATTCTATAATAGCACTTCAGGCAAAGTAGATGCTTATTATATATGTGTTAGATAAATGAATGAAAGAATGACATTTTCCTCCCGACAGTGAATTATTTGAGAACAAGAGAAATATTTTAGCTATGCATGGTTTTCCTTATAGTGTGTAACTGAATGGGTAGATTTTACTAAGATGTGAAACTTTTATATATTAAATAAGCACTTGGAGAGTTGTGTAAAGCTCAGATAAACTATTTGATGAAGCAAGGTGTAATAAATGGGACATACATATCAGGAAAAAATAAAATGTGCATAAAATAAACATGATAAGAACAAACAAGATAAGTTCCAGGAAGTAAGAATCCAGTGATTTACACTCCATTAATAATTTCTTTTTCGTTGAACAGAATTAGCTTCCAACAAGGAAACTCCTGTTTGCTTCCTTATGCTGCCTAGAGATAAAATATTCAATTAGGCAAGTTAAAAATAAAACAAACGGGCCGGACGCGGTGGCTCACACCTGTAATCCCAGAACTTTGGGAGGCCGAGGTGGGGGGATCACGAGGTCAGGAGATCGAGACCATCCTGGCTAACACAGTGAAACACCTTCTCTACTAAAAAATACAAAAAAATTAGCCAGGCGTGGTGGCGGGCGCCTGTAGTCCCAGCTACTCAGGAGGCTGAGGCAGGAGAATGGCGTGAACCCAGGAGGCGGAGCTTGCAGTGAGTCGAGATCGAGCTACTGCACTCCAGCCTGGGCAACAGAGCGAGACTCTGTCTCAAAAAAAAAAAAAAAAAAAAAAACCCCAGAATGCTCAGATTTTAGTGGATTGACATTTACAGCAAGAGTCCAGAAATAATATTTGTAATTATTACACTAAATATTCCTTTAATTATCTATCATTATTATCATGTTTATTTTCTTCATCTGACCTGATAGACCAGATAATATTTCTTTTTTTTTTTTTTTTTTTTTTTTTTTGAGATGGAGTCTTGCTCTGTTAGCCAGGTTGGAGTGCAGTGGCGCGATCTTGGTTCACTGCAAGCTCTGCCTCCTGGGTTCACGTCATTCTCCTGCCTCAGCCTGCCGAGCAGCTGGGACTACAGGCGCCCGCCACCACGCCCAGCTAATTTTGTATTTTTAGTAGAGACGGGGTTTCACGGTGTTAGCCAGGATGGTCTCGATCACCTGACCTCGTGATCCGCCCGCCTCGGCCTCCCAAAGCGCTGGGATTACAGTCTTGAGCCACCGCGCCCAGCCACAATATTTCAACTCTGTTGATAGTCACCCATTTCTTCTTTTTATCTTCACACAAATACTTGATACCTAGCACAGGTAGCATGCGTCCATCTTTGTATTTGTGGGTTTCTTCAATGTTGTGTATATTTCTGAGTACTCATAACCACCAACTCTCCATTTATTTTGTTTATTTATTATGCTGTACATGAGGTTCACCCAACCTGGAAGAGAGGTATTAGAGAGACCAGTGTGATCTTAGAAAGACTCCTGGGAAACCAAGGATAGAAGAATAAAGTCACCCAACTTCATTGTCATGAACCACATGCAAGATGGAACACCATCATTTATCATTAAAAGAGTTGCAGAAAATTGCCCATTCTGAGCATTCAGGTTGGCTTTTTCTCTGGTTGCTGTCAGTTAATTGTCTCCAGCAGTTTCTAGCATGTCCTTCTAGGGGCAATTATACCCTTTCACTTTGCCTAAAGCTCTGGCTGCTCATATTTATCTGAAGCAGGGAATGATGTCCTTGACACTCAGACGTTTGGTGATTCTGTGGAAAAGAAAGCCTCAGCATGTTTACCTGGGAAGGACTGGACAGTGCTAAAACCTATCATTAGATTATAGCATACTGTATATTATTATGTGGCAATGACCTTTCTTTTATATTGTAGTACAAAATGTACAACATGACCTTTACCACATTAACCATTTTTAGGTGTACAGTTCTGTAGCATTAGTTATATTCACATTGTTCTGTAATAATCACTATATATATCTCCAGAACTTTTCAAGAAACATTCTCTCTTCTTTCTTTCAGCTTCTGGCAACCATAACTCTACTTTATATCTCTTTAAATTTTACTGTTCTAGATACCTTACATAGTGAATTGTACAATATTTGCCTTTATGTGACTGGGTTGTTTCACTTAGCATTATGTCTTCAGATTCATCCATGTGTAGCATGTGTTCAAATTTCCCTCTTTGGTAATGTACTTTAAAATATTTTAATACAAACAGTGTCATTTATGTGAGTGTATAATATTTCATCAGACATCATGGCATTTAGATAGCATTTGGAATGACCAAAGTAGAAATTCACAATCGAAAGATAGCAACTAAGCACTACAAATACCATTTTGTAAATAAACACCAGAAATATTTTAGTGGTAAAATTAGCGTTCTTCAAGATATGTTATTTGCTACAATAAGGGCACAAATACCTTGGTATGACAGCCCAACAGTCTTTGGATCAGTCTCTAGGTCTAGAATTCCAGATGGCCTTTCTTCTACTTTCTCCTGTATTCATGGAGGCTTCTTCCTCTTAATCTGAAATTTATTCTTGTACCTCCACAAACTGAGCCCTTTCTACAAGGGACTTGTAATAATGTCTAAAGAAATAATGAGCATTGTCCTGAACTTAGAAGAACAAATTATAGAAGTATTTATCCTGCTTTTTTGACAGAATTTGTTACAAAACTTCCTTTTACAGTGATATGTCAACTAGTAATGAGAATAAAGGGGAATCATTTAAAATTCCCACCAACCTTCATTTCCTAGATGCAGCCTATAATTACGAATAATTTGACATTTACTGGCCAGATTAGCATCAATGTGTTCATAGCACTATATATACTCTTAATTATGTCAGACCTGCATCCATTGCCATTGTGGAGGCATTCTGTTGGACAGCAGATGACAATTAAAGTAAGCTAAAAAGGGAGGTGCATGTCCATAATACAGACTGGGCATGATTGGAGAAGACCAGGCATCACTCTGTCAGACAGAGAAAGATGGGCAAGATTTTTCTGACAACTGCTGCAATGATCCTGGTATCAAGTTCACAAGACTACATGGGGGAGAAGAAAATGATCTCTAAATTTAACAGACTGAAGAATTATACTTTTGGAGACCCAAGTTGGTATATGGCCTTAATTATTTAGAACTCTTAATATTAATTATCACAATGTTAAATACTACAATTTTGTTGAAGGTATATTTTCTAAATTATGCTTAAGTATTGCCTGACGATTTGCTACAGGTTTTTGGCTTGGAAACATTTTTCAGATATAAATTGTTGCTGGAATGGTAAATTTTATTAATCAACCTGGCAGGGCTATAGTGTGAAGCTGTTTGGTCAAATACTAGTCTAGATGTTTCTGTCAATGTGCTTTTTAATGTATTTAAAATTTAAATCGGTAGACTTTGAGTAAACAGATTGTGTTGCATAAAATGAGTTAGGCCATATCCAATCAGTTGAAAGTCTTAGGGACAAAGACTGAGGAAAAGGAAGTCCCTTCAAGACTGCAACATAGAAACCCTACCAGAGTTTTCAACCTGCTGCCCTGTAGAATTTGAATTCAGTACTGCACTGACTCATGTGAATTTCCAGCCAAAGGTCACACTTGCCAGCCCCCATAATCACACAAGCCCAAAAGGTAACATAGCAGAAAATCTAGATTCCCTTGGGGTTAGAGATGAATTTTTAGATGCAATACCAAATGCATGATTCAGGAAATAAATAATTGATAAGATGGGCTTCATTAAAGTTAAAAATTTCTGCTCTGCAAAAATCACTGTTAAGAGAATGAGAAGACAAGCCACAGACTGGGGAAAAATATTTGTAAAAGACCTATGTGATAAAGGATTACTATTCCAAATATACAAAGAAATCGTAAAATTCAACAATAAGATAAAAAACAAACTCCATTTTTAAAAGGGCCAATAACCTAACAGATACAGCAGATATATCCAAATGGAAAAAATAAGCATATAAAAAGAAGCCCTACATCTTATGTCAGCAGAGAAATGCAAATTAAAATAAAAGCAACATACTTCTACACACTATTTGAATAGTCAAAATACAGAACTCTGACAGCACCAAATGCTGGAGGGAGATAGAACAAAAGAATCTCATTCATTGCTGGTCAGCATGAAAAATGGTACAGCCAGTTTGGTAGAGAGTTTGGTGAGTTCTTACAAAATTAAACATATTATGGAATGATCTAGCAATTCCTCTTCTTAGTATTTCTACAAAGGAGTTCAAAACATGTCCACATAGACATGTGCAAATTGACGTATAGAGCAGGTTGATTTTTTTTTATTTTTTTTTATTATACTTTAAGTTCTAGGGTACATGTGCACAACGTGCAGGTTTGTTACATGTGTATACATGTGACATGTTCGTGTGCTGCACCCATTAACTCATCATTTACATTAGGTATATCTCCTAATGCTATCCCTCACCCCTCCCCCCACCCCACAACAGTCCCCATTGTGTGATGTTCCCCTTCCTGTGTCCAAGTTTTCTCATTGTTCAACTCCCACCTATGAGTGAGAACATGTGCTGTTTGGATTTTTGTCCTTGCTATAGTTTGCTGAGAATGATGGTTTCCAGCTTCATCCATGTCCCTACAAAGGACATTAACTCATCCTTTTTTATGGCCGCATAGTATTCCATGGTGTATATGTGCCACATTTTCTTAATCCAGTCTATCATTGATGGACATTTGGGTTGGTTCCAAGTCTTTGCTATTGTGAATAGTGCCGTAATAAACATATGTGTGCATGTGTCTTTATAGCAGCATGATTTATAATCCTTTGGGTATATACCCAGTAATAGGATGGCTGGATCCAATGGTATTTCTAGCTCCAGATCCCTGAGGAATCGCCACACTGACTTCCACAATGGTTGAACTAGTTTACAGTCCCACCAACAGTGTAAAAGTGTTCCTATTTCTCCACATCCTCTCCAGCACCTGTTATTTCCTGACTTTTTCAAGATCACCATTCTAACTGGTGTGAGATGGTACCTCATTGTGGTTTTGATTTGCATTACTCTGATGGCCAGTGATGATGAGCATTTTTTCATGTGTCTGTTGGCTGCATAAATGTCTTCTTTTGAGAAGCGTCTGTTCATATCCTTTGCCCACTTTTTGATGGGGTTGTTTTTTTCTTATAAATTTGTTTGAGTTCTTTGTAGATTCTGGATATTAGCCCTTTGTCAGATGAGTAGATTGCCCAAATTTTTTCCCATTCTGTAGGTTGCATGTTCACTCTGATGGTAGTTTCTTTTGCTGTGCAGAAGCTCTTTAGTTTAATTAAATCCCATTTGTCAATTTTGGCTTTTGTTGCCATTGCTGTTGGTGTTTAGACATGAAGTCCTTGCCCATGCCTATGTCCTGAATGGTATTGCCTAGGTTTTCTTTTAGGGTTTTTATGGTTTTAGGTCTAACATTTAAGTCTTTAATCCATCTTGAATTAATTTTTGTATAAGGTGTAAGGAAGGGATCCAGTTCCAGCTTTCTACATATGGCTAGCCAGTTTTCCCAGCACCATTTGTTAAATAAGGAATTCTTTCCCCATTTTTTGTTTTTGTCAGGTATGTCAATGATCAGATGGTTGTAGATGTGTGGTATTATTGCTGAGGGCTCTGTTCTGTTACATTAGTCTATATCTCTGTTTTGGTACCAGTACCATGCTGTTTTGGTTACTGTAGACTTGTAGTATAGTTTGAAGTCAGATAGCGTGATGCCTCCAGCTTTGTTCTTTTGGCTTAGGATTAACTTGGCAATGTGGGCTCTTTTTTGGTTCCATATGAACTTTAAAGTAGTTTTTTCCAATTCTGTGAAGAAAGTCATTGGTAGCTTGATGGGGATGGCATTGAATCTATAAATTACCTTGGACAGTATGGCCATTTTCACAATATTGATTCTTCCTATCCATGAGCATGGAATATTCTTCCATGTGTTTGTATCCTCTTTTATTTCATTGAGCAGTGGTTTGTAGTTCTCCTTGAAGAAGTTCTTCACATCCATTGAAAGTTGTATCCCTAGGTATTTTATTCTCTTTGAAGCAATTGTGAATGGGAGTTCACTCATGATTTGGCTCTCTGTTTGTCTGTTGTTGGTGTATAGGGATGCTTGTGATTTTTGCACAATGATTTTGTATCCTGAGAATTTGCTGAAGTTTCTTATCAGCTTAAGGAGATTTGGGGCTGTGACGATGGGGTTTTCTAGATACACAATCATGTCTTCTTCAAACAGGGACAATTTGACTTCCTCTTTTCCTAATTGAATACCCTTTATTTCTTTCTCCTGCCTGATTGCCTTGGCCAGAACTTCCAACAGTATTTTGAATAGGAGTGATTAGAGAAGGCATCCCTGTCTTGTGCCAGTTTTCAAAGGGAATGCTTCCAGTTTTTGCCCATTTATTATGATATTGGCTGTGGGTTTGTCATAAATAGCTCTTATTATTTTGAGATACGTCCCATCAATACCTAATTTATTGAGAGTTTTTAGCAAGAAGGGCTGTTGAATTTTGTCAAAGGCCTTTTCTGCATCTATTGAGATAATCATGTGTTTTTTGTCTTTGGTTCTGTTTATATGCTGGATTACATTTATGGATTTGCATATGTTGACCCAGCCTTGCATCCCAGGGATGAAGCCCACTTGATCATGGTGGATAAGCTTTTTGATGTGCTGCTGGATTCGGTTTGCCAGTATTTTATTGAGGATTTTTTGTATCGATGTGCATCAGGGATATTGGTCTAAAATTCTCTTTTTTTGTTGTGTCTCTGCCAGGCTTTGGTATCAGGATGATGCTGGCCTCATAAAATGAGTTAGGGAGGATTCCCTCTTTTTCTGTTTATTGGAATAGTTTCAGACGGAATGGTACCAACTCCTCCTTGTACCTCTGGTAGAATTTGGCTGTGAATCCATCTGGTCTTGGACTTTTTTTGGTTGGTAAGCTATTAATTATTGCCTCAATTTCAGAACCTCATATTGGTCTATTCAGAGATTCAACTTCTTCCTGGTTTAGTCTTGGGAGGGTGTATGTGTTGAGGAATTTATCCATTTCTTCTAGATTTTCTAGTTTATTTGCGTAGAGTTGTTTATAGTATTCTCTGATGGTAGTTTGTATTTCTGTGGGATTGGTGGGGATATCCCACTTATCATTTTTTGTTTCATATATTTGATTCTTCTCTCTTTTCTTCTTTATTATTCTTGCTGGCAATCTATCAATTTTGTTGATCCTTTCCAAAAACCAGCTCCTGGATTCATTGATGTTTTGAAGGGTTTTTTGTGTCTCTATCTCCTTCAGTTCTGCTCTGATCTTAGTTATTTCTTGCCTTTTGTTAGCTTTTGAATGTGTTTGCTCTTGCTTCTCTATTTCTTTTAATTGTGATGTTACGGTGTCACTCTTTCCTGCTTTCTCTTGTGGGCTTTCAGTGCTATAAATTTCCCTCTACACACTGCTTTAAATGTGTCCCAGAGATTCTGGTATGTTGTGTCTTTGTTCTCGTCGATTTCAAAGACCATCTTTATTTCTGCCTTTGTTTCCTTATGTACCCAGTAGTCATTCAGGAGCAGGTTGTTCAGTTTCAATGTAGTTGAGTGGTTTTGAGTGAGTTTCTTAATCCTGAGTTCTAGTTTGATTGCACTGTGGTCTGAGAGACAGTTTGTTAAAATTTCTATTCTTTTACATTTACTGAGGAGTGCTTTACTTCCAACTGTGTGGTCAATTTTGGAATAAGTGTGATGTGGTGCTGAGAAGACTGTATATTCTGTTGATTTGGGGTGGAGAGTTCTGTAGATGTCTATTAGGTCCACTTGGTGCAGAGCTGAGTTCAATTCCTGGATATCCTTGTTAACTTTCTGTCTCGTTGATCTGTCTAATGTTGACAGTGGGGTGTTAAAGTCTCCCATTATTGTGTGGGAGTCTAAGGCTCTTTCTAGGTCTCTAAGGACTTGCTTTATGAATCTCAGTGCTCCTGTATTGGGTGCATATATATTTAGCATAGTTAGCTCTTCTTGTTGAATTGATCCCTTTACCATTATGTAATGGCCTTGTCTCTTTTGATCTTTGTTGGTTTAAAGTCTGTTTTATCAGAGACTAGGATTGCAACCCCTGCCTTTTTTTGTTTTCCGTTTGCTTGGTAGATCTTCCTCCATCCCTTTATTTTGAGCCTATGTGTGTCTCTGCATGTGAGATGGGTTTCCTGAATACAGCACACTGATGGGTCTTGACTCTTTATCCAATTTGCCAGTCTGTGTCTTTTAATTGGAGCATTTAGCCCATTTACATTTAAGATTAATATTGTTATGTGTGAATTTGATCCTGTCATTATGATGTTAGCTGGTTATTTTGCTCGTTAATTGATGCAGTTTCTTCCTAGCCTCGATGGTCTTTACAATTTGGCATGTTTTTGCAGTGGCTGGTACTGGTTGTTCCTTTCCATGTTTAGTGCTTCCTTCAGGAGCTCTTTTAGGGCAGGCTTGGTGGTGACAAAATCTCTCAGCATTTGCTTGTCTGTAAAGTATTTTATTTCTCCTTCACTTATGAAGCTTAGTTTGGCTGGATATGAAATTCTGGGTTGAAAATTCTTTTAAGAATGTTGAATATTGGCCCCCACTCTCTTCTGGCTTGTAGAGTTTCTGCCGAGAGATCAGCTTTTAGTCTGATGGTCTTCCCTTTGTGGGTAACCCAACCTTTCTCTCTGGCTGCCCTTAACATTTTTTCCTTCATTTCACCTTTGGTGAATCTGACAATTATGTGTTTTGGAGTTGCTCTTCTCGAGGAATATCTCTGTGGCGTTCTCTGTATATCCTGAATTTGAATGTTGGCCTGCCTTGCTAAGATGGGGAAGTTCTCCTGGATAATATCCTGCAGGGTGTTTTCCAACTTGGTTCCATTCTCCCTGTCACCTTCAGGTACACTAGTCAGGGACATAGATTTGGTCTTTTCACATAGTCCCATATTTCTTGGAGGCTTTGCTAGTTTCTTTTTATTCTTTTTTTCTCTAAACTTCTCTTCTTGCTTCATTTCATTCATTTGATCTTCTATCACTGATACCCTTTTCTTCCAGTTGATCGAATCGGACAGTGAAGCTTGTGCATTCGTCACTTAGTTCTTGTGCCATGGTTTTCAGCTCCATCAGGTCATTTAAGGACTTCTCTACATTGGTTATTCTAGTTAGCCATTTGTCTAATCTTTTTTCAAGATTTTTAACTTCTTTGTGATGGGTTCAAACTTCCTCCTTTAGCTTGGAGAAGTTTGATCATCTGAAGCCTTCTTCTCTCAGCTCGTCAAAGTCATTCTCCCTCCACCTTTGCTCCATTGCTGGTGAGGAGCTGCATTCCCTTGGAGGAGGAGAGGCACTCTGATTTTTAGAATTTTCAGTTTTTCTGCTGTTTTTCCCCATCTTTTTGGTTTTATCTACCTTTGGTCTTTGATGCTGGTGACGTACAGGTGGGGTTTTGGTGTGGATGTCCTTTCTCTTTGTTAGTTTTCCTTCTAACAGTCAGGACCCTCAGCTGCAGGTCTGTTGGATTTTGCTGGAGGTCCACTCCAGATCGTGTTTGCCTGGGTATCAGCAGCGGAGGCTGCAGAACAGCGAATATTGCTGAACAGCAAATGTTGCTGCCTGATCGTTCCTCTGGAATTTTCATCTTAGAGGGGTACCCGGCCATGTGAGGTGTCAGTCTGCCCCTGCTGGGGGGTGCCTCCCAGTTAGGCTACTCAAGGGTCAGGGACCCACTTGAGGAGGCAGTCTGTCCGTTCTCAGATCTCAAACTCTGTGCTGGGAGAACCACTCCTCTCTTCTGGGAGAACCACTACTCTCTTCAAACCTGTCAGACAGGGACATTTAAGTCTGCAGAGGTTTCTGCTGCCTTTTGTTCGGCTGTGCCCTGCCCCCAGAGGTGGAGTCTACAGGGGCAGGTAGGCTTCCTTGAGCTGCGGTGGGCTCCACCCAGTTCGAGCTTCCTGGCTGCTTTGTTTACCTACTCAAGCTTCAGCAATGGCAGGTGTCCCTCCCCCAGCCTCACTGCTGCCTTGCAGTCTGATCTCAGACTGCTGTGCTAGCAATGAGCGAGGCTCTGTGGTCATGGGACCCTCCGAGCCATGCGTGGGATATAATCTCCTGATGTGCCATTTGCTAAGACCATTGGAAAAGTGCAGTATTAGGGTGGGAGTGACCCAGTTTTCCAGGTGCCGTCTGTCACAGCTTTGCTTGGCTAGGAAAGGGAATTCCCTGACCCCTTGCACTTCCTGGGTGAGGCGATGCCTCACCCTGCTTCAGCTCATGCTCGGTGCGCTGCACCCACTGTCTTGCACCCACTGTCTGACAAGCCCCAGTGAGATGAACCCAGTACCTTAGTTGGAAATGCAGAAATCACCCATCTTCTGCATTGCTCATGCTGGTAGCTGTAGACAGGAGCTGTTCCTATTCTGCCACCTTGGAACCGCCCAGCTTGATTCTTAAATTGAATACTTGCAAGCAACCAAGATGTCCTTCACTGGTTGAATGTATAAAATGTATAAATATTTCAGACAATGAAATATTATTCAGGGCTTAAAAAATGAGCTTTCAAGCTATGAAAAGATAGAAAGGAACCTTAAATGTATATTACTAAATGAAAGAAGCCAATCTGAGAAGGTGTATGACTCCACCTATATGATATTCAGGAAGAGAGAAAACTAAAAAGAAAAATATTAGTCATTGCCAGCAGTTCAGTTGGCAGGGGAGAATGAATAGGCAGAATGCAGTACATTTTTAGGGCAGTAAAACGACACTGTATGAATCTATAATGGTGGATTCTTGTGATTATGAATTTGTCCAAGCCCAGAGAGTATATAACACCAAGAGTGAACTTGAATGTAAATAACGGGCTTTAGATGATGATTTGTCACTGTAGGTTCATCATTTGTAACAAATGTACCACTCTGGTAGGAAATTTTTAATAATGGAGGAGGCCAAGTATTTATGGAGACAGAGGGAATATGGGTCACATGTGTACCTTCCTCCCAATTTTGCAATTTTGCTGTAAACCTAAAGCTGCTATAACACATATGAAGGGAGTCCTGCTATTTGAGACAGCATGAATGAACATGGAGGAAATTATGCTAAGTTAAATAAACTAGACATAGAAAGACAAATACTACATGATCCCATTTATATGAGGAATCTGGAATAGTCAAAATCTCAAAAACAAAGAGTAGAATGGTGATTACCAGGGGCTGTGGAGAAGGGAAATGGGAGGCATTAGTTAAAGAGCATAAAGTTTCATACTCTACAGCATAGTGCCTACAGTTAACAAAACTGTATTATACCCTTAAACATTTGCAAAGAGGGTAGATCTTATGTTAAGTGTTCTTATCACAAAAATGTAATTAAAAAAATAAAAAGGGCAAGAAGAAACTTTCTGAGGTAATAGATATGTTAATGCAAACATTGTGGTGATGGTTTCACTCAACTTCACACTCTTCAGGTTGTGCATATTAAATATGTACAGCTTTTTGCATGTAAGTCATACCTCTATCAAGTAGGTAAAAAACATGCCCACATCCAAATCCTGGTTCTTCCATTTGTGTGATTTGAGTCAAACTATGCAACCTCTATCTTTCATGGTTTCCTTGCTTGTGAAATGAAATTAATAGTTTATAGGGTGTTTGTAAAATGATATAAACCATATAAAGCACTGAGCACTGTGCTGGTGCATTGTAAGCACTCGATACATGAGAGCTAAAAGAATGATGATTATGCAGTAAATTCCCAAAGTCCTTCTCCTCTGTTTTAGTCTGACTTTTACAGAATAAACTTCTTACAGATCCTCATGGATAATTATTAATAAATATTGAATATTTGGAATGGAATTGATTCTTATAAAGTTAATATTTTTCTACTATTGAAAATGTTAAGTTGGATAAATTGACATTAACTGAATATGCCTGGGGGAATGATCAGAATTTTCATTGTTTTGAAATATAAAATGTGATTCTAAAATAATATGATTATTAAATATTTATTACTTGCAGTAGAGCAGCCATAATTTTTAAAATATGATTTAAAAGTAATGTCAAATAACATGGAAAAGCATTGAAAAATAATATCTGTCAGGAAAACAGACAAATAAATAAATCAGCAAATTTGACTTATCCAGTAACTGAAATTGAGTTTGTTGCCAGTAAAATGCTTCTTCCAAAGATGAGTTGCTCCTGGCAGTTACTACACTTGGGATTGCCAGGCCCTAACAGAGCTTCAGGTTTTCAGCCTTTGACCTATCTGCTGCTAGCCAGTCAGTTGTTAGATAGGATGCATGTCTTATCTCCTCTCATCCTGGATGTCTTCCCATTGAACTATATCAGAATCATTTGGAAAAGACCATTATGATTTTCTGGCACTGGTTGAAGAGCAGACAAAACAATGTGTGTCTGCGAGTATGTGTGTATGCATGCATGTATGCAAACCCTTGCACATATCTGTATGAGTGTTTCGTCTAGGGGAGGAAAGAGAAAATCTGCATGCCTTGGGATGCCTAAAGGGAAGGGTAGAAAACTCTGTAAACAGCTCCCGGGGAAAATACATCTTCAGAGATATTATCAGGAGTAGTATGTAACTGAAAATTCTGCAAAATAAAAGGTCATTCCTAGAGATATTAGACTGTAGCAATTAAGTGGGATAAGCTAAAGGAAGGAGGGAAGTATAGTTAATCTAAAGAACTACTGTGCTATTGCTAGACACAAGATAATTCCTGGAATAAGCTGATTTTGATAGATGCATTATTTTTCTTCTTCCTTGAAATAAATTTGTGTTTGTGATTTACTGGTTTTGCTGATAATTTATGCTCATTTTATGAGATTAGAAATTTTTAATACATCTTTTTTCCCCCAAAATTCAACCACCTAAAGATAATCACTGTTAATATTTTGTGTTCATCATCTAATTTCATATGTATTTCTAATAAGAATTTAAAAACTAATATTAATATCTCCACAAATGAAAAGTTCCAAATATACATATATGCCATTTTATTATACTTAGAAATTCTCTTCCCCATATCAAATATTATTTATAATATAAATAAAATATTTTAATATAATTTTAAAGAACTTTAATATGAAACAGTTCTATATTTACAAAAATTACAAAAATAATATTAAGCATCCCCATAAACCTGGAATGCAGTTTCTCCTTTTATTAACATTTTAAATTATGGTACATATGTTATAATTGATGAACCAATATTGTTACATTATCATTAAAGTCTGTGTTAACTTCCTTTTTCAATTCTAGGATCCCTTCCAGGATACTATATTACATTTAGTCATCATTTCTCCTTGGGCTGCTCTTGGATGGGACAGTTTCTCAGATTTTTGTTGTTCCTGTAGACCCTGATAGGTTTGAGGACTGCTGGCCAAGTATTTTGTAGGATGCCCCTCAGCTGGAATGTTTTTCTTATGAGTAGACTGGGGCTATAGGTTTTGGAAAAGAAAACCACAGAAATGCCATTTAATTACATGAAATCTAAAGTTTTTTTGATCAACATGACTCAACATTATTGATATAGACCTTGATCACCTGGCTGAGTTACTATTTGTCAAATTTCTCCACTTTAAAATTACTCTCCACTCCCTCACTTGCCACGTTTCATGCTGTATTTTTTAGAACAGAAACACTGCTTGAAGTTCATCCTTAAAGAGTGGGCAGTTATGTCCACCTCCTCCTTAAGAGAAAGTATTTACATAAATATTTGGAATTCTTTTGCAATGGAGATTTGTATCTTCTTAATTTATTTATTCCATTATTTATATCAGTGGATACTCACAAATAACTGTTTTCTACTGGTTTTATTGTGCTTTGCTTTATTGCTCTTTACAGATACTGTTTTTTATAAATAGACGGTTTGTGGCAACCCTACATTAAGCAAGTCTATCAGTGTCATTTTTCCAACAGCATGTGCTCACTTCACATCTCTTTGTCACATTTTGGTAAGTCCTGTAATGTTTCAAAATCATTATATTTATTATGGAAATCTATGATCAGTGATCTTTAATGTTACTGTTCTAATCATTTTGTGGCTCCATACACTCCCATATAAGATGTTAACTTATTTGATAAATGTTATGTGAATTCTGACTGCTCCACTGATCGGTCGTTCTCCTGTCTCTCTCCCTTACCTTTGGACCTCCCTATTCCCTGAGACACAAGAATATTGATATTAGGCCAATTCATAATTCTTACTGCCCATTGACAATGCAGTTGGTAAATTAAGAGCTCTGATGATTAATGGTTTTACACCCGCTAACACAACATCCATTCTGTAGCCCATGGATCCAGAACTAATTTTGACTTAAGAGTCTTATTAAACAAGAAATATATTTTGTAAGGCCATAACTGCCATAGATAGCAATTCCTCCGATGGAGCTGGGCAAAATAAATGGAAAATCTTCTAAAAAGGATTTACCATTCTAGATGTAATTAAGAACATTCATGATAATAGGAAGAGGTAAAATATCAACATTAACAGGAATTTGGAAGAAATTGAACGTAGAATATTTTTCTATTTGTTTGTGTTTTATCTGATTTCTTTCAGCAGTGTTTTGTAGTTTTCCTTGTAGAAACCTTTTACTTCCTTGACTAGCTGTATTTGCTTTTCTTTGTGGCTACTGTAAATGGGATATTTTTCTTGATTTACCTCTCACCCTGGACATTACCGGTGTATAGAAATGCTACTGATTTCTGTACATTGATTTCTAGAAACACTTATCATTTCTAGTAGCCTTTTTGGAGTCTTCAGGGGTTTCTAGGTATAGAATCATATCACCCATAAAGATAGATAGTTTGACTTCCTCTTTGTATATTTTGATGCCTTTTGTTTCTCTTTCCTGATTGTTCTGGCTAGGAGTTCTAGTGCTACATTTAATAGAAATAGAGAGAGTGGGCATCTTTGTCTTGTTCTGGTTCTCAAGGGGAATGGTTCCACCTTTTGCCGTTTGGTATGATGTTGGTCATGAATTTGTCATAGATGTCTCATTATTTTGAGGTATGTTACTTCAGTGCCTAGTCCATTGAGTGTTTTTATCATGAAGGGATGTTGGATTTTATTGAAAGCTTTTATTTGTGTTTATAGAGATAATAACAGGTTTTTTGCTTTTAATTATGTTTACGTGGTGAATCACATTTATTGATTGGCATTTGTTGAACCAGCCTTGCATCCAAGAAATAAAGCCTACCTTATCATGCTGGGTTAACTTATTGAAGTGCTGCTTGATTTGGTTTGCTACTATTTTATTGAGGATTTTTGCATTTGTGTTCATCATTGCCACGCTAATCACAATAGCAAAGACACAAAATCAACTTAGGTGCCAGTCAATGGTGGGCTGCATAAAAAATGTACATATGCACCTTGAAATACTATGCAGCCATAAAAAAGAATGAAATCATGTCTTTTGTAGCAACATGGATGGAGCTGGAAGCCACAATCCTAAGTGAAGTAATGCAGAAACAGAAAACCAAATGCCACATGTTCTCACTTATAAATGAAAGCTAAACATTTAAGCACACATGGACATAAACATGGGGACAATAGACACTGTGGACTGCTAGAGGGGGAAGAGCAATAGAAGGGTGTGAGTTGAGAAACTACCTATTGGGTACTATGCTCAATACCGTGGGACAACATAACCATGTAACAAACCTGCACAGTATCCAAAACAAAAGTTGAATTAAAAGAAAGTTAATTCCAACCCTCACAGATGTCTTTGAGGGGTTCAAGGCTTCAGTGGTGGAAGTAACTGCAGATGTGATAGAAATGGCAAGAGAACTAGAATTAGAAGGCGAGCCTGAAGATGTGACTGAATTACAGCAACCTTATGATAAAATTTACAGATGAGTTGCTTCTTATGGATGAGTATGAAAAGTGGTTTCTTGAGATTAAATCTACTGCTGATAAAGAACTGTGAACAGTGTTGAAATGACAAAAAATATTTATAATATCACATAAGTTATTTGGTAAAGTAACAGCAAAGTCTGAGAGGACTGACTTCAATTTTGAAAGAAGTTTTACTGTGGGTGAAATACTCTCAAATAACATTACATGCTACAGAGAAGTCTTTGTGATAGGAAAAGTCAATCAATGCAGCCAACTTTATTGTTTATTTTCAGAAATTGCCAGTCACCCCAACCTGCAATTGCCCCTCTTATCAGCCAGCAGCCATCAACATCAAGACAAGACTGTCTTCCAACGCAAACATTTTAACTCACTGAAGGCTCAGAGGATTGTTATCATTTTTTAGCAATAAAGCATATTTAATTAGGGTATATACATTGTTTTTCAGACTTACTGCTGTTGCACAATTAATAGACTATGATATAATGTAAGCATAACTTTTATATGCGCTAGGAAATCAAGGAGGTAACGTGACTCTCTTTAATGCAATATTTGCTTTATTGTGGTGGTCTGGAACTGAATCCAAAATATCTCTTAGGTACGCCTCTATTAGACTTATTAATCTTTATCCTTGTGGAAACCACTTTGTCAAATAGGTAGAACTTACATATAATTCCCTCACCCTTAGCCTTCCAAAGTTACTTAATTGAACAACTTTTTCTTTTCACCCTATTCAATGAGGTTGTTCGTTTGTTTATATCACAGCTAAAATGTTTTGGCACATTCTGCATCAATTTCTGGGATTCCTCAACCTCCTAAATATATACTTTTAAAAAATTTGAATGTAGTAAAGTTTTATCTTTATCCTGTAAAGTTCTTTGTGGTTTGGCAAATAGTGTCATGTAGCCACAATTATTAAACATAATAGTTTCACCACTCTAAAAATTCTCCTGGGCATCTCCTCTTCAATACTTCCTACGTTTCATGGAACACCTTACAACCACTGATATTTTACCGTTTCTATAGTTTTGTCTTTTCCAAACTAGTATATAATTAAAATCAAGTGGAATGAATAAGGTCAACATAAAAATCTCGGTGCATATTTTTGTGTAGATATGAGTTTTCAAATAAGTTTGACTAATACTCAGAAATGTAATTGCTGGGTCATATGATAAGTCTGTATTTCACTTTCCAAGAAACTGCAAAATGTCCTCCAAAGCAGCTGTATAATTTCACATTACTACCAGCAACAAATGAGAGTTCCTGTTGCTTTGCATTCATATTGGCAATTGATATTGTGGATTTTTTAAGGGGGTTTTATCCCTTCTACAGGTGTGCAGTGCTATCTCATTTTTGTTTTAATTTGTAATTTTTTAATGAAATTTAATTTTAAGTACATTTTGATATCTTATATACTCTGGTAATGTAGATGTTCAGATCTTTCACACATTTTCTAATAGAATTGTTTGCATTTAAGTGTTAAGTTTTTTTTTTTTTTTTTTTGAGACGGAGTCTTGCCCTGTTGCCCAGGCTGGAGTGCAGTGGTCCAATCTCGGCTCACTGCAAGCTCTGCCTCCTGGGTTCACACCATTCTCCTACCTCAGCCTCCTGAGCAGCTGGGATTACAGGCGCCTACCACCATGCCCAGCTAATTTTTGTATTTTTAGTAGAGACAGGGTTTCACCTTGTTAGCCAGGATGGTCTCGATACCTCATGATCCGCCCACCTCGGCCTCCCAAAGTGCTGAGATTACAGGCGTGAGCCACCACGCCCGGCCTTTTTCAGTATTTTTTGATAAATGCCCTTTATCAGCTATAACCTTGGCTTATCTCTTTATTCTCTAAATGCTGCATGTTGCAGAGCAGTGTTTTCAATTGTAATAAAGTTCATATTGTCGTATTTTTTCTTTCAAGGATCGTGTTTTTGGAATTTTGTTTTAAAACTTATTGCCCAATTATGAACATCTTGATTTTCTCCTGTATTTACTACTTAGAAGTTTTAAAGTTTTGTGTTTTGTAGGACCTATTATGAGTTTGTTTTAATGAAATGTATAAGGTCCGTGTCTAGGTTTTGTATTGCTTTGTTTTTGTTTTGCTGATGAACATACAATTGTTCTGACATGATTTGGTAAAAAAAAAAAAAAAAAAAAAAAAAAAGACTCTTTTGTCTTCAATAACTTGCCCTTACTCTTTTTCAAAGATCATTTAACTATATTTGTTATTCCTGGGACCTGTATCCTGTTCTAGTCAGCTTTTTATCTTTTCTTATGCCAAAACTATGTTCTCTTGGTTACTGTAGCTTTTCATCAAGTTTTGAAATTGTGTAATGTGCATCACACAAATTTGTAATTCTGCTTCACTATTTGTGGCCATTCTAGGTCTTTTTTCTCTCCATATAAATTTTAGAATACATTTGCCAATATCTGTAAAATATCTTGCTGATGATATTTTGACCAAGGTTTGATTGAATCTGGAGATCATTTGGGAAGAATTGATAGGTTAATTATATTGTGTCTTTCAATACATGGACATGAAGTCCCTCTATATTTATTTATATTTTCTTTGATTCCTTTCATCAGAATTTTGTATTTATCTTATAAAAAGCCTGTATATATTTTGTTAGATTTATACCTAATTATTTCTTTTTTAAAAGCTTTTATTTATTTATTTATTTATTTATTTATTTATTTATTTATTGAGACAGGATCTCCCTGCATTGCCCAGGCTAGAATGCAGTGGCATGATCATGGCTCATTGCAGCCTCAACCTCCTAGGATCAAGCTATTCTCCCACCTCAGCCTCCCAAGTGGCTGGAACCATAGGCACATGCCACCATGCCCAGCTAATTAATTTTTTTTTTTTGTAGAGACCAGGTTTTACCATGTTTCACAGACTGGTCTTGAACTCAAGCTCAAGCAACTCAAGCTCAAGCAATCCACCCTCACTGGCCTCCCAAAGTGCTGGGATTACAGTTAACTTTTATTTTAGGTTCAGGTGGACATGTGTAGGTTCTTTATATCAATATGTTTTGTGTCACAGTTGTTGAGTGTATAGATTATGTCATCACTCAGGCAATAAACATTGTACCCCATAGGTAGTTTTTCATTTCTCACCCTCCATCCTCAAGCAGGCCTTGTTGTCTTTTTTGCCCTTTTTTGTGTCTATATGTACTCAATGTTTAGCTCTCACTTATAAGTGAGGACATGCGGTATTTGGTTTACTGTTTTTGCATTAGTTCCTCTAAAGTAATAGCCTCCAGCTGCATCCATGTTGCTGCACAGGACATGATCTTGTTCTTTTTTTTGGCTGCATAGTATTTCATGTCGTATATGTACCACATTCTCTTTAGTCAGTCTACAAATGATAGGAATCTAGGTAAATTCCATGTCTTTGCTGTTGTGAATAGTGCTGTGATGAACATCTGCATGCATGCTTCTTTATGGTAGAATAATTTATATTCCTTTGGATATATACCCAATAAGAAGATTGCTGGGTCAATGGTAGTTCTGTTTTAAGTTCTTTGAGAAATAAACAAACTACTTTCCACAATGGCTGAACTAATTTATATTCCCACCAGAAGTGTATAAGCATTCCCTTTTCTCCACAACCTTGACAACATCTGTCGTTTTTTTTTATTTTTTAATAGCCATTCTGATGGTGTGAGATGATATTTCATTGTGGTTTTGATTTGTGTTTCTCTAATGATTGGTGATGTTGAGTATTTTTTCATATGTTTGTAGGCTTTATTCTGGGGATGCAGGATTGGTTCAAAATATGCAAATCAATAAATGTAATTTATCACATAAACATAGCTAAAAACAAAAAACAGATAATCATCTTAATACATTCAAGAATGCATTTGATAGAATTCAACATCCCTTCATGTTAAAAAACCTCGGCAAACGTGGCATTGAAGGAACAGACCTCAGAATAATAAGAGCCATCTATGACAAACTCACAGCCAACATCATACTGTGTGGGCAAAAGCTGGAAATACTCCCCTTAAGCTCTTAGTTTAATTTGGTCCCATTTGTCAATTTTTGGTTTTGCTACAATTGCTTTTGGTGTCTGCACAGGAGAAGAAACTAACAACAGAGTGTGCAGAAAACCTACAGAACAAGAGAAAATATTTACAAACTGTGCATCAAACAAAGGCCCAATATCCAGAATATAGAAAGAACTTAAACAAATTAACAACATCAACAACAACAACAAAAAAACCATTAAAAAGTGGGTAAAGGACACAAGCAGTATTACTTTTTTTTAATATTCAGAAAACTTGCTATACTTATTAATAAAATCCAAGGTTTTAAAATTGATTCTTTAGAATGCTCTTGATAGACAATCATGTTTTTTCTAAATAAAGATAGTTTAGTGTCTTGCTTTTTAATTTATATATGTTTTCCTTATTTTTCTTGTCTTACTGTACTAGTTTTGACTTGCAGTGCAATGTAGCAGAGAAATGGTGAGATAACGTATCTTACATTTATTCTCACTCTTTGGTGGAAAGTATCCAGTTTTTCACCATTAAATATGATGCTAACTGTAGGTTTGCAGAGGCATTCTTTAGCAAATTAAGAAAGTTCCCTTCTATTCTAGTTTCCTGAAATTTTTAAGTATAAATGGTTATTGAAATTCGTGAAATGCTAGTTCTGCATCAATTAATATAATTATTTGGCCTGTTGATACAATGGAGTATATTAATTGGTTTTCAAGTGGTAATCAGCCTTAAATACGTCGGGTAAATTCCATTTGACTGTGTTGAATAATTGTATTAGTTCATTCTCAGGCTGCTATAAGGACATACCAGAGGCTGGGTAATTTATAAAGGAAAGAGGTTTAATTGATTCACAGTTCCTCAGGTATGGGAAGGCCTCAGAAAACTTACAGTCGTGGAAGACGGGGAAACAAAAATGTTCTTCTTCACATGGTGGCGGGAAGAAGAAGAATCAGTGAAGGAGAGGAGCGGAAGCCCCTTATAAAACCATCAGATCTTGTGAGAACTCACTCACTATGATGAGAACAGCAGCATGATCCAATTACATCCCACCAGGTCCCTCCCATGACATGAGGGGATTATGGAAACTACAATTCAAGATTAGATTTGGAGTGGGGGCACAGCGAAACCATATCATTGCACTCCTGTGCCCTCCCAAATCCCATGTCCTCACATTTCAAAACAGAATCATGTATTCCCAAAAGTTCCCCAAAGTCTTTAATCATTCCATCATTAAACCAAAAGCCCAAGTCCAAAGTCTTATCCGAGACAAGGCAAGTCTCTTCCACCTATAATCCTGTACAATGAGAGCAAGTTAGTTACCTTCTATATAGAATGTGGGTACAGGAATTGGGTAAATAACCCCATTCCAAATGGGAGAAATTGGCCAAAACAAAGGGGCTATAGTCCCCATCCAAGTCTGAAATTCAATAGAGCAATCATTAAACCTTAAAACTCCAAAATAATCTCCTTTGACTCCATGTCTCACATCTAGGTCATGCCAATGCAAGAAGTGGACTCCCACAGCCTTGGGCAGCTGCACCCCTGTGACTTTGCAGGGTATAGCCCCCTCACAGCTGTTTTCATGGGCTGGTGTTTAGTGTTTGCAGCTTTTCCAGGTGCACAATGCAAGCTATCAGTGGACCTTGAATTCTGGGTTCTGGAGGATGGTGGCCTTCTTCTCACAGCTCCACTGGGCAGTTCCCCAGTGGGGACTCTGTGTGGGGGCTCCAACCCCACATTTCCCTTCCACACTGCCCTAGCAGAAGTTATCCATGAGGGCTCTACCCCTGAAGAAAACTTCTGCCTGGACATCCATGCATTTCCATACATCCTCTGAAATCTTGGTGGAGCTTCCCCAACCTCAATTCTTGACTTCTGTGTACCTGCAGGCTCAACACAGTGTGGAAGCTGCCAAGAGCTAGGGCTTGCACTCTCTGAAGCAATGACCTGAGCTGTATCTTGACCCCTTTTAGCCAAGGCTGGAGTGGCTGGGACGCAGTCCCGAGGACGCACACAGCAGTGAGGCCCTGAACTTGGACCGTGAAACTATTTTTCCATTATAGGCTTCCAGGCCTGTGATTGGAGGGGCTGCCATCAAGGTCGCTGGCATGCCCTGGAGATGTTTTCTCCATTGTCTTAGTGATTAACATTCTGCTCCTTGCTACTTATGCAAATTTCTGCAGCAGGCTTGGATTTCTCCACAGAGAAATGGGATTTTCTCTTCTATCTTATTGTCAGGCTGTTTTTTCCAAACTTTTATGCTCTGCTTCCTCTGGAATGCTTTGCCACTTAGCAGTTTCTTCCACCAGATCCCTAAATCATCTCTCTCAATTTCGAAGTTCCGCAAATTTCTAGGGCAGGGCCAAAATGTTGCCAGTCTCTTTGCTAATGCATAGCAAGCGTAACCTTCACTCCAGTTCCCAACAGGTTCCTCATCTCCATCTGAGATCACCCTAGCCTGGATTTCATTGTACATATTACTAGCAGCATTTTAGTCAAAGCCATTCGATAAGTTTCTAGGAAGTTCCAAACTTTCCCACATCTTCCTGTCTTCCTCGCCCTCCAAGTCTCTATGGGAAACTCCAAATTTTCTCACATTTTCCTGTCTTCTGGGCTCTCCAAATTGTTCCAACTTCTGCCAGTCACCCAGTTCCAAAGTTGCTTCCACATTTTCAGGTATCCTAATAGCAGCACCCCACTCTCTTTGGGACAAATTTATTGTATTAGTTCATTCTCACACTGCTATAAGGATGTATTTGAGACTCAGTAGTTTATAAAGGAAAGGTTTAATTGACTCACAGTTCCACAAAGCTGAGAAGGCCTCCGAAAACTTACAGTCATGGCAGAACAGGGAGCAAACACATCCTTCTTCACATGGTGGCGGGAAGAAGAATGAGTGACGGGGGTGGGGAGAGAACGTCCCTTAAAAAAACATCAGATCTCATGAGAACTCACTATCATGAGAACAGCAGCATGGGGGAACTGCTCCTTTGATTCAATTACTTCCGCATGAGTCCCTCTCATGACATGGTTGGGATTATGGAAACTACAATTCAAGATGAGATTTGGGTGGTGACACAGCCAAACCATATCAATAATTATTTTTATATATTGATGAATTCAGTTGTTAATGTGTTGATGAGGACTTCTGCATTTATATTAATGGGGGACATTGGTCTGTGGCATCCTATATTAATTTCGCATGGCTGATGTATCAAATACCATAAACTTTGTGGCTTAAACAACACAAAATTATCTCACAGTTTTAGAAGCCAGAAGTCCAAAATCAGTTTTATTGGGCTGAAACCAATGTGATGGTGGGGCTATACTTCGTCCAGAGGCTCTATGGAAGTATCTCAGCCCTCTCTTTTCTAGTTTATAGTGCCTGACTTCATTCCTTAGATTATAGTTGCATCACTGCAATCTTTGCTGCATCTTTACATTGCTTTCCCTTCTGTGTGCATCAAATGCCCCTCTTTCTTCCACTTGTTAAAATATATGTGACTGCAGTTAGAACCAATCCAGGTAATTCAAGATAATAAATTATCTCCCCATCTCAAGATATTTAGCTATATTTGCAAAGACCATTTTTTACCCTTCATATGAGATAACACTACAGGTTCCAGGGATTAGGATGAAGACACCTTTTTTTAGAGGGTGGAAGGAAAATTTTTCAGCTTATCTTTTTTAGTTCCTTTTTGTGATACCTGTTCCAAAAGGCATTCTCATATGCACAGTCTTTCTACGCCTGCTTGGCTATGTACAAATGGACCTTGGACCTAAATCACTTTCTTACAAGGAGATAAAGAGCTCACATAGCCCGTGCTGGGTTTATCACCTTGTGCGGAAATATATTTCTCTATTGCAAGCTTAAGGTATATTCTTCTGTTCTGCTTAAGCATGTGGGTCACATGGCACCTGGCCAACTGCACTATATATCTGTCCTCTGTGGGGAAGGAACAAGGTTTTTCTAATGAGGTACAAGAGTGTTGCATGTAGCCAAGTCCTTGTGTTGGCTGCCAGAGAGGGACCCACTATCTATGGAGGACTCATGCACATTATTGAAGCTGATTTTGCTCTGCCTCTTCCCTATGTAAGTAAAGTGTAGCTCCATTTAGTAGTTGACTGCATTGTGTTTTCTTTGGTGCCTTCAATGCCAAGATACAATAGGAAGAAGGTTTAGAGTGTTCCCCTGGAATTTATAACCATTGTAAGGTCTTCTGCTTAACAGTTCTGCTTAAAAATTTATTTATCAGGTTTTGCAATTAGGGTAATGCTGGCTTTATTAAATGAGTTGGCTCCCTCTGCTTCCATTTTCTGGAATAGATTTTCAAGAATTGATATCATTTCTATCCCAAATGTTTGGTAAACTTCACCAATAAAACCACCTGGATCTCATCATTCAGATCTAGTGAAACCACTAGGTCTGGTGTTTACTGGTGTTTTATACTTAAATGTCCTTTCTATATCTGCTTTCCTAAAACAGAAGATTTGAATGTTGATTTTAGAACTTTCTTTTCATCTACATGCATTTCTGTATGCATTCAGGGCTATACATTTTCTTCAGCCTGCTTTCCTAACATCCAACAAATTTAGATAAACAGTATTTTCGTTTTCATCTACTTCAAAATATTTAAAATTTTCTCTTGAGACTTCTTTACTAATCCGTATGTTACCTAAGTATGTCTTGTTTAATCTTCCAATATTTAGAAATGTTCCAACTATCTCTCTGTTATTTATTTCTACTTTAATTCCACTGAGATCTCATAGAAAATATGTTTTCTATTATTTCTGTTACTTTAAATTTATGAAAAGTTGTTTTAAGATCCACAATGTTTTTTTATTATTATTTTTATTTTGGTGAATGCTTCATGTGAGCAAATAAAATACGTACTCTTGCTGTTGTGGATTGAGTATTCTAAAAAGAGCAATCAAATCAAGTTGGTTGGTGATGCTTTCCAAGTCAGGATATTCTTTCTGATATTTTTCCTGCTTCACGTATAAATTACTATAAAGGGGTTGTTGCAGTTTTCAACTAAAATAGTGAATTTGTCTATTTTTCCTTGCAATCCTATCAGTTTGTGATGCAACTATGTTGATGTTCTCTTATTAGGTGCATACATAGTTAGAATAGTCTGTTTTTGTTTGTTTGTTTGTTTGTTTGTTTTTAGAATTGACCCCTCTATCAATATGTAATGCCTCTTTATTTCTGATAATTAGCATTGTTCTAAAGTCCACTTTGTCTTAAATTAATATCCTATAGTAGCTTTCTTTTGATTAGTGCCAGCATCGTATATCTTTCTCCATCCCTTTACTTTAAACCTATCTCAGTCTTTGTATTTAAGGTAGGTTTCTCATACAATCATATGGTTGAATCTTGTTTTTTATATTCAATTTGAAAATCTCTTAATTAGCATATTTAGACAATTCACATTAAATGTCAATAACATTAGATTAATATCTACCATTTTTGTAATTGTTTTCCACTCATTGCATTTTTTAATTGTCTTTTTTGCATCTGCTATTTTTCTGTGTTCTTTGGTTTTAATTAGGCATTTTATTTTATTCTATTTTACCTCCTTTATTCTATATAAACTGTACTTAAAAGTTAGTGGTTTCCCTAGGTTTTGGAAAATGTATTTATAACTAATCTGAGTCTACATTCAAATAAGACAATATCTATTCATATATAGTGAAGGCATCTTATGTTATTTTCATACCCTGTTTTCTACTTATTATGATATTGTTATTTATGTCATTTATCCATATGATATAATCACCTAATACATTTTTACCATTACTACTTTAAATACAATTACATTTTAGTTAAGAATAACAAAAATAAAATATTTTATTTTTTCCTTCACTGACATTATTTTTTTGGTTCCAGGTTTCTGACCTATATAATATTTTTTTCTGTCTAAATTTTTATAACATTCCTTACAGAACAAGGCTGCTGATAAATTGCTTTCATTTTTATTTGTCTTTATTTCTGCTTTACTTTTGAAGGATAATTTCATTAGATATAGAATTCCTGGTATTTTTTTCCCCAACACTTTTAAGTATTTTACTACATTGTCTTCCTGCTGGCATCAATGTTTCTGTGAGAAGTTTGATTATACTTGTTCTTCTCTAGGTAAGATGTTTTCACTAGCTTTGTAAAAAGTTTCCTCTTTGGCTTTATTATTTTAACTGCAGTTTGAAAATAATATGCCTATATGTAGAATTTTTTTATTTTATTTTGAGAGAGTCTCATTCTGTCACCCAGGCTGGAGTGCAGTGTCATAATCTCAGCTCACTGCAACCTCCGCCACCCAGGTTCAAGTGATTCTCCTGCTTTAGCCTCCTGAGTAGCTGGGATTACAGGCATGCATCACCATGCCCAGCTAATTTTTTTTTTTTTTTTTAAGTAAAGATAGGGTTTCACAATATTGGCAAGGCTGGTCTCGAACTCCAGACCTCAGGTGATCCTTCTGCCTCGTATTTCCAAAGTCCTGGGATTACAGACATAAGCCACCATGCCCAGCCTCAGTATTTATTCTGACTGGTGTTCACTGAGCTTTCTGAATCTACAGTTTGGATTGGTCACTAATTTTGGAAAATTCTAATCATTCAATTATCTCTTCTGCTTTGTTCTATCTTTCTGATCATTCAGTTATACATATGTTACAACTTGTAAAATTGCTACAGTTCTTGGACCCTCTTTTCTGGTCTTTCTCTTTTTCTTTCTTATTTTTCTTTGCATTTTATTTTTGGAAATGTATATTGATATATTTTCAAGTTCAACATACTAATGAACCCATCAAAAGCATTCCTTATTACCTTTAGAGTGTTATTTCTACTATTTCCTTTTGATTCTTACAATTTCTTCTCTTTGCTTGTGTTAGCCATTTACTCTGTACATCGTCTACTTTTACAATAAGATTTCTTAGTATATTAACATAATGTTTTTAAATTTCTTCTCTGATAAAATGTATTTTATTTTGATTCTGATTTTGATGTTTGATTTGTCCTTTAAGCCTGGGTAATTTTTCTTGTATCTTAAGATGTCTTATACATTTTGTTCAACTAGACATAATATATTTGGTAATAGGAAGTAAATAGATCCTTTGTGTGGGTTTATGTATTAATCTGTCTAGGAATTGGACTGTATTATGTTTGTTTGTTTTTTTATTTTTATTTTATTATTATTATACTTTAAGTTTTAGGGTACATATGCACAATGTGCAGGTTAGTTACATATGTATACATGTGCCATGCTGGTGTGCTGCACCCATTAACTCGCCATTTAGCATTAGGTATATCTCCTAAAGCTATCCCTCCCCCCTCCCAGCACCCCAAAACAGTCCCCAGAGTGTGATGTTCCCCTTCCTGTGTCCATGTGTTCTCATTGTTCAATTCCCACCTATGAGTGAGAATATACGGTGTTTTTTTGTTCTTGCGATAGTACTGAGAATGATGATTTCCAGTTTCATCCATGTCCCTGCAAAGGAAATGAACTCATCATTTTTATGGCTGCATAGTATTCCATGGTGTATATGTGCCACATTTTCTTAATCCAGTCTATCATTGTTGGACATTTGGGTTGGTTCCAAGTCTTTGCTATTGTGAATAGTGCTGCAATAAACATACGTGTGCATGTGTCTTTATAGCAGCATGATTTATAGTCCTTTGGGTATATACCCAGTAATGGGATGGCTGGGTCAAATGGTATTTCTAGTTCTAGATCCCTAAGGAATCGCCATATTGACTTCCACAATGGATGAACTAGTTTACAGTCCCACCAACAGTATAAAAAGTGTTCCTATTTCTCCACATCCTCTCCAGCACCTGTTGTTTCCTGACTTTTTAATGATTGCCATTCTAACTGGTGTGAGATGGTATCTCATTGTGGTTTTGATTTGCATTTATCTGATAGCCGGTGATGGTGAGCATTTTTTCATGTGTTTTTTGGCTGCATAAATGTCTTCTTTTGAGAAGTGTCTGTTCATGTCCTTCGCCCACTTTTTGATGGGGTTGTTTGTTTTTTTCTTGTAAATTTGTTTGAGTTCATTGTAGATTCTGGATATTAGCCCTTTGTCAGATGAGTAGGTTGCGAAAATTTTCTCCCATTTTGTAGGTTGCCTGTTCACTCTGATGGTAGTTTCTTTTGCTGTGCAGAAGCTCTTTAGTTTAATTAGATCCCATTTGCAATTTTGTCTTTTGTTGCCATTGCTTTTTGTGTTTTAGACATGAAGTCCTTGCCCATGCCTATGTCCTGAATGGTAATGCCTAGGTTTTCTTCTAGGATTTTTATGGTTTTAGGTCTAACGTTTAAGTCTTTAATCCATCTTGAATTGATTTTTGTATAAGGTGTAAGGAAGGGATCCAGTTTCAGCTTTCTACATATGGCTAGCCAGTTTTCCCAGCACCATTTATTAAATAGGGAATCCTTTCCCCATTGCTTGTTTTTCTCAGGTTTGTCAAAAATCAGATAGTTGTAGATATGCAGCATTATTTCTGAGGGCTCTGTTCTGTTCCATTGATCTATATCTCTGTTTTGGTACCACTACCATGCTGTTTTGGTTACTGTAGACTTGTAGTATAGTTTGAAGTCAGGTAGTGTGATGCCTCCAGCTTTGTTCTTTTGGCTTAGGATTGACTTGGCAATGCGGGCTGTTTTTTGGTGCCATATGAACTTTAAAGTAGTTTTTTCCAATTCTGTGAAGAAAGTCATTGGTAGCTTGATGGGGATGGCATTGAATCTATAAATTACCTTGGACAGTATGGCCATTTTCACAATATTGATTCTTCCTACCCATGAGCATGAAATGTTCTTCCATGTGTGTGTATCCTCTTTTATTTCATTGAGCAGTGGTTTGTAGTTCTCCTTGAAGAGGTCCTTCACCTCCCTTGTAAGCTGGATTCCTAGGTATTTTATTCTCTTTGAAGCAATTGTGAATGGGAGTTCACTCATGATTTGGCTCTCTGTTTGTCTGTTATTGGTGTATAAGAATGCTTGTGATTTTTGTACATTGATTTTGTATCCTGAGACTTTGCTGAAGTTGCTTATCAGCTTAAGGAGATTTTGGGCTGAGACAATGGGGTTTTCTCGATATACAATCATGTCATCTGCAAAGAGGGACAATTTGACTTCCTCTTTTCCTAATTGAATACCCTTTATTTCCTTCTCCTGCCTAATTGCCCTGGCCAGAACTTCCAACACTATGTTGAACAGGAGTGGTGAGAGAGGGCATCCCTGTCTTGTGCCAGTTTTCAAAGGGAATGCTTCCAGTTTTTGCCCATTCAGTATGATATTGGCTGTGGGTTTGTCATAAATAGCTCTTATTATTTTGCAATATGTCCCATCAATACCTAATTTATTAAAAGTTTTTACCATGAAGAGTTGTTGAATTTTGTCAAAGGCCTTTTTGCATCTATTGAGATAATCATGTGTTTTTTGTCTTTGGTTCTGTTTATATGCTGGATTACATTTATTGATTTGCATGTATTGAACCAGCCTTGTATCCCAGGGATGAAGCCCACTTGATCATGGTGGATAAGCTTTTTGATGTGCTGCTGGATTCGGTTTGCCAGTATTTTATTGAGGATTTTTGCATCAATGTTCATCAAGGATATTGGTCTAAAATTCTCTTTTTTGGTTGTGTCTGTGCCAGGCTTTGGTATCAGGATGATGCTGGCCTCATAAAATGAGTTAGGGAGGATTCCCTCTTTTTCTATTGATTGGAATAGTTTCAGAAGGAATGGTACCAGTTCCTCCTTGTACCTCTGGTAGAATTCGGCTGTGAATCCATCTGGTCCTGGACTCTTTTTGGTTGGTAAGCTATTGATCATTGCCACAATGTCAGAGCCTGTTATTGGTCTATTCAGAGATTCAACTTCTTCCTGGTTTAGTTTTGGGAGGGTGTATGTGTTGAGAAATTTATCCATTTCTTCTAGATTTTCTAGTTTATTTGCATAGAGGTGTTTGTAGTATTCTCTGATGGTAGTTTGTATTTCTGTGGGATCAGTGGTGATATCCCCTTTATCATTTTTTATTGCATCTAGTTGATTCTTCTCTCTTTTCTTCTTTATTAGTCTTGCTAGCGGTCTATCCAATTTTTTTGATCCTTTCAAAAAACCAGCTCCTGGATTCATTAATTTTTTGAAGGGTTTTTTGTGTCTCTATTTCCTTCAGTTCTGCTCTGATTTTAGTTATTTCTTGACCTCTGCTAGCTTTTGAATGTGTTTGCTCTTGCTTTTATAGTTATTTTAATTGTGATGTTAGGCTGCCAATTTTCTATCTTTCCTGCTTTCTCTTGTGGGCATTTAGTGCTATAAATTTCCCTCTACGCACTGCTTTGAATGTGTCCCAGAGATTCTGGTATGTTGTGTCTTTGTTCTCGTTGGTTTCAAAGAACATCTTTATTTCTGCTTTCATTTCGTTATGTACCCAGTAGTCATTCAGGAGCAGGTTGTTCAGTTTGCATATAGTTGAGCGGTTCTGAGTGATAGCCATAGATGCAATTTACTCTACTGTCTATTTTTGTCTTCCTATTTATTTTTGTGTTTGCCTAAGAAGTCCTTCTTTGATAGTCTGAATGACTTGTATCTCTTTGAAATTATGTTGTATTCCTGTTGTATTAAGGTGTGGGATAAAATACCTTTGTGATAAAATAACTTTATGAATTAACCAAAGTCCTTTAGGGAACCTATGTACTTGGGACATGGCCTTTACAAGTGTGTTTTCCTTGTTTTTAGCCTCTTAGGTGAGATGGGAAAGCTAAATTTGAAGAAATGTCCCTCCACAGGATGGTAATCTTTTCCTCTGGAGAGCCAGGCTTTGTTATGTAGAAAACTCTGGGCATATTTCAAAGTGTTTATTCATCCAGATCATCTGCCAGACCCTGGATAGAAGCTTTCTAGGCTCTTCACTGTGAGCACTTGATGGGAATACTGGAGGCAAAACCCAGTAAAAATGTGGTGACCTTCCTAAACTGCAGCTTCAAAGACCTTCTCACACTTAAGCTAGTCCACATTCAGCCTCCAATAATTCACCAAAATTGCTAAATAAATGTTCTTATCAGTTTCTGCTCTAGCTGAGTATGCCCCAGATAAGGTAGTCTTGACTGTGGTGCTGAATTCACCTGTCTTTTCAGATTGCAGGATAGTAGTTTACCTTGAGACTTGGTTCTCTCATTGGTCCAAAAAAGAAAAGCTATTGATTTTCAGTTGTATTTTTTCTTTCTTGTGAAAACTTTCAAGTTATTTTCATTTGATAGCTAAAAATGGAAGTATAAATATTATTCTTAAAACATAATTTTAATGGTATATGAGCCAGGCATATTATAATATGTATTTCAAATCCCTATTTGTGGACGTATAGTTTGTTTTCATATGTGTGCTGCTCTTATTCATAGCTCTGTCATAAATTCTTGTGCACACCATGATAATTCTTCTAAGATAAATCTCTAGAGATAACATTATTGAGACATCAAGAGTAGAGTTAATGCATTTGATAAATATTGTCAAATTGCTTCTGCAAAGTTTGTCTCAGCTTTCTACTGTACTACTGGATCTTGAGAAAACCTGTTTTTTTTTGGCAAATATGGGATGTTATGTTATCTTTTTATCTGTTTCATTTTGCTAGGTGAAAAATTCTATATCTATAATTTTATTTTTATTATGTTGGTTATGGTGCTGTTGAATATTTAGTTTTAATTACTGGCAATTTTTTTCTTCTTTTTGTATTCTGTGTTTATGCCCTATGTAGAATATACCAATTTTACTATTCAGGTTCTTGACATAAAGATATAACTGTGTCTGTGTGTGCGTGTGTGTGTGTGTGTATGTATGTGTGTCTGTGTGTGTGTGTGTGTAAGGATGGAAGAGAGGAAAGAGAAAGATGAGAATGTCTTGGATTAATTTTTCTCTTGGAACTGGCCCTGTATCCAAAACTGCTTATAAAAATCTAGACCCAGGCCAGGTGCGGTGGCTCACGCCTTTATTCCCAGTACTTTGGGAGGCTGAGGCAGGTGAATCACGAGGTCAGGAGCTCGAGACCAGCCTGACCAACTTGGTGGAACCCCGTCTCTACTAAAAATACAAAAAATTAGTCGGGCCTGGTGGCACATACCTGTAATCCCAGCTACTCAGGAGGCTGAGGCAGGAGAATCGCTTGAACCCAAGAGGTGGTTGCAATGAGCTGAGATTGCACCACTGCACTCCAGCCTAAGTGACAGAGAGAGATTCCATCTCAAAAAAATAAAATAAAAAAGAAAACAGAAAAGAAAAGAAAAAAAAATCTAGACCCATGTACTTGATGGTGTTTTGTAGCTCCAAGTGGTCATAGAGCTAGTCAACAAAAGGCTAGATATACAGTAATAACCTTTACTCAGCTTAAATCTTAGAAAATCAATACTCTAAACTTAGCCTGAAATACAAAACCCTGGGTTCATTGAAACCCCAGAGAAAAGACATCAGACACCACAAATTGGTAAGTTACTGAAGATAGTAAGTCTTTAGTACAGTCTGTCAATGTGACTTCTTGCCTATATCTAACCGAAAGTTAGAAAGCAAGATAATTTGTTAAATCAATGCGAAGAAATTAGCTTTTCTAGAAATGGAGCAAAGTGAAAAAGGGTAGAGAGGGCAAAAAGTGATGTTTTCCATTTCAAAAGGCAAGCTTGAGTGTGGGCTACCAAGCTCAGGATGCAAGTCAGTATGACAACTATAGAAATTGTATTAGTCCATTTTCATACTGCTATGAAGAAATATCTGAGACTGGGTAATATGTAAAGAAAAAGAGGTTTAATGGACTCACAGTTTCACATGGCTGGGGAGGTCTCAGAATCATGGCAGAAGGCAAGGGAGGAGCAAAGCTACATTTTACATGGTGGCAGACAGGAAAGCATGTTCAGGGGAACTGCCCTTCATAGACCCATCGGATCTTGTGAGAACTCACTATCATGAGAACAGCATGAAGGTAACCACCCTCATGACTAAATTAGCTCCCACTAGGTCACTCCCACAACACATGAAGATTATGAGAGCCACAATTCAAGATGAGATTTGCATGGGGACAGAGACAAACTATATCATTCTGCCCATGGCCCTCCCAAATCTCATGTCCTCACACACTCATGCATTCCTAACAGTCCCCAAAAGTCTTTACTCATTCAGCATTAATACAAAAGTCCAAGTCCAAAGTCTTATCTGAAACACAAGGCAAGTCCCTTCCACTTATGATACTGTAAAATCAAAAGCAAGCTAGTTACTTCCTAGATAGAATAGGGGTTCAGGCAATGGGTAAATAAACTCATTTCATGTGGAGAAATTGGCCAAAATGAAGAGGCTATAGGCCCCATGCAAGTCTGAAATCCAGTGGGGCAATCAAATCTTAAAGCTCCAAAATGATCTCCTTTGATGCCATGGCTAACACCCAGGTCATGATGATGCAGGAAGTGGGCTCCCATGGCTTTTGGCAGCTTCACCTCTGTGGCTATGCAGGATACGGCCCCCATCCTGGCTGCTTTCATGGGCTGGCAGTGAGTGTCTGAGGCTTTTCCAGGCACACAGTACAAGCCGTAAGTGGATCTCTCATTCTGGGGTCTGGAGGACAGTGGCCCTCTACTCATAGCCCCATGGGGACTCTGTGTGGGGCTCCAACCTCACATTTCCCTTCTACACTGCCCTAGCAGAAGTTCACCATGAGGGCCCCGACCTTCCAGCAAAATTCTGCCTGGACATCCAGGCATTTCCATGCGTCCTTTGAAATCTAGGTAGAGGTTTCCTAACCTCAATTCTTGACTTTTGTGCATCTGCAGGCTCAACACCATGTGAAAGCTGCCAAGGTGTGGAGCTTTCACCCTCTGAAGCCACGACCCAAGCTATATCTTGGTCTCTTTTAGCCACAGCTAGGGAGGCTGGGATGCAGGGCACCAAGTCCCTAGGCTAAACATAGCAGGAGAGGCCCTGGGCCCAGCCCATTAAACTATTTTTTCTTTCCAGGCCCCTAGGTTTATGATGGGGAGGGCTTCCATAAAGGTCTATGACATGCCCTGGAGACATTTTCCCTATTGTCTTGATAATTAACATTTGGCTCTTTGTTACTTATGCAAATTTCTGCAGCAGGTTTGAATTTCTCTCCAGAAGATTGGCTTTTTTTTTCTTTTTTTTTTTTTTTTTTTTTTTTTTTTTTTTTGAGACGGAGTCTCGCTCTGTTGCCCAGGCTGGAGTGCAGTGGCGGGATCTCGGCTCACTGCAAGCTCCGCCTCCCGGGTTCATGCCATTCTCCTGCCTCAGCCTCCCAAGTAGCTGGGACTACAGGCGCCCGCCACTACGCCCGGCTAATTTTTTGTATTTTTAGTAGAGACGGGGTTTCACCGTTTTAGCCGGGATGGTCTCGATCTCCTGACCTCGTGATCCGCCCGCCTCGGCCTCCCAAAGTGCTGGGATTACAGGCGTGAGCCACCGCGCCCGGCCGGCTTTTTTTTTCTTGCATTGTCAGGCTGCAAATTTTCCAAACTTTTATGCTCTGTTTCTTCTTGAACACTTGACCACTTAGAAATTTCTTCTGCCAGATACCCTATATCATCTCTCTCAAGTTTAAATTTCCACAAATCTCTAGGGCAGGGGCAAAATGCTGCCAGTCTCATTGCATAGCAAGAGTAACCTTTACTCCAGTTCCTAAAAAGTTCCTCATCTCCATCTGAGACCACTTCACCCTGGACTTTATCATCCATATCACTATTAGCATTTTGGTCAAAGACACTCAACAAGTCTGTAGGAAGTTCCAAACTTTCCCACATTTTCCTGTCTTCTTCTGAGCCTTCCAAACTGTTCCAACCTCTGCTTCTTACCCAGTTCCAAAGTTGCTTTCACATTTTCAGGTATCCTTATACCAGTACTGCACTCTACTGGTAGCAATTAACTGTATTATTCCATTTTCATGCTTCTTTGAAGAAATACCTGAGACTGGGTAATTTATAAAAGTTTAATGGACTCACAGGTTCACATCACTGGGGGGCATCTCACAATCATGGCAGAAGGTGAAGGAAGAGCAAGGCATGTCTTACATGGTGGCAAGCAAGAGAGCATGTGCAGGGGAATTGCCCTTTATAAAATCATAGATTTTGTGAGACTTGTTTGCTATCATGAGGACAGCACAGTAGAAACCCTCTCTCATGATTTAAATTACTTCCCACCCCACATGGGAGGTACAATTCAAGGTGAGATTTGAGTGAGGACACAACCAAACCATATTAGGAATTAATCAGAATAGTTTGATAGGGAGTACCATGAGAAGCTAAGGGTTATCTAAGAAGGCATAGAGAACAAAAACTAAGATATAAAACCAGACAGTGCAATAAATGTAATCATCAAAAAATGTTTCCAGAAAGGGAGATTCTAACAATGAGATACTAAGGCGATTTCAGCCATCCACAGAAGTAAAATGGAGATCTAATGTTAGACAGCCTCTTATCATCTCTTCCTAGATGGTTCAGAACTTATAACTGTTTTTGCATCATAAGGGAAACACTCTTGGCATAAGGAAATGTTTAAAAATTAATTTACACTGCCTGTCTGGTCCAGTAAAATGAATTCACTCACATACTACTAGGCATAATGAAAACTGTTAGTACCCTCTGGGAAACAACATATAGCAAAAAACCTTAAAATACTTGTACTCTTTGACTGATAATAACCAGTTTTATTGGCTGTTTCATCATATTTATTTCTAATTAAAATGTATTTGGTAAGTAATACTGCTGAAAATATCTAAGTCTGAACCTCAGGAAGGAGATACTTAATATCATATCACTGGAGCCTAGTTGGATTGAGATTACACTGACCATGCTGGTATAGCAGGGCTAGGGAGAAAACTGGAACATCTGGCACAAATGCCAAATTGTGCTTGTTAAATATAAAATAATGCTAGAGTTGAAATTTTGATGATAACAACCAAAAAATGTTGATCAAAAAAGAAGACTTAAGAGATATATAGGGAGCTGAGGTCCTGAGCCAAAAGTGTGGATTACTCAGAGAATACATAAATAAAGAGCACCGTATCAAATGGACAAAGGGAAAACATTTGGGGGAAAAATAACCAAATGATAGTTGTTCTTGATAGCCGAAATATGGCACAATGCAAGGGTAGGGGAAGTGGGGAGTGGAGATATGTGAAAGAAGGATTCATGTAATTGGCAAGAGCCAGAGACCAGGAAACTCTTATGTGTTGACGGACAAGCACAGCGAGACTTGTAGGGCTAAATCAACTTCATAAGAGGTCTGAACAGTAAATGCGGGTATGGAGTGTAGAATCTGGGATTCTTAGAAAGGT